>NC_000003.12:123857089-124008604 GCF_000001405.40 Homo sapiens
CAATGAGATACCATCTCACACCAGTTAGAATGGCGATCATTAAAAAGTCAGGAAACAACAGGTGCTGGAGAGGATGTGGAGAAATAGGAACACTTTTACGCTGTTGGTGGGACTGTAAACTAGTTCAACCATTGTGGAAGTCAGTGTGGCGATTCCTCAAGGATCTAGAACTAGAAATACCATTTGACCCAGTCATCCCATTACTGGGTATATACCCAAAGGACTATAAATCATGCTGCTATAAAGACACATGCACACGTATGTTTATTGCGGCTCTATTCACAATAGCAAAGACTTGGAACCAACCCAAATGTCCAACAATGATAGACTGGATTAAGAAAATGTGGCACATATACACCATGGAATACTATGCAGCCATAAAAAATAATGAGTTCATGTCCTTTGCAGGGACATGGATGAAATTGGAAATCATCATTCTCAGTAAACTATCGTAAGAACAAAAAACCAAACACCGCATATTCTCACTCATAGGTGGGAATTGAACAATGAGAACACATGGACACAGGAAGGGGAACATCACACTCTGGGGACTGTTGTGGGGTCGGGGGAGGGGGGAGGGATAGCATTGGGAGATATACCTAATGCTAGATGACGAGTTAGTGGGTGCAGTGCACCAGCATGGCACATGTATACATATGTAACTAACCTGCACATTGTACACATGTACCCTAAAACTTAAAGTATAATAATAATAAAGAAAGAAAGAAAAAAGAAAAAAAAAATTGTGTGTCATGGGCTATGGCCCTAACTAAGTTTTCAATCCTGGGGCAAATCCAGCCTAATAGCCTACACTGGGCCTGTCACCCTGGCCTGTATATATTAATTTTCCCTTGCACTTCAACCCTCCCACTTGCACTTGGGGCCTATGGCCTGATGACTCTCAGCCACGGGCATAATGTAAACCGAAGGACAAAGGACTTTTGGGTACCCGCTGGTATTGGATTCTGGGCCATCTTCAGTGCCCTAAGGGTTGGTAGTTTTCTTGCTGCTGCTCCTGCTACAGAGGCTCTTGGGAGCTATCTGCTTGTCATGCTTATGTTTATCACTTGCAATAGTGCCCAGATCCTGTGGTATTGTCCTTGGACCTGAAGATGGTTTCATAGACAGAAAAATGTGGAGTGCAGCTTGGGAGAACTGAGAGGTCTCCAGAGTGGGAGAGGTCTCAAAGTACTAAGGAAAGGAAAATAGGACTAGGTTCTCCAGAAATGTGATTCTAACCTTTCACCCATTCCCTTTGTCTCTTAGGTCCCCAGACAGCCTGAGATAGCCATAGGCCTCTTAGTCCATTTTCTGTTGCTTATAACAGAATACCAGAAACTAAGGAGTAAGAAAGAAATGTATTTCTTACAATTACAGAGGCTGAGAAGTACAAGGTCGAGAGGCTACATCTGGTAAGAACCTTCCTGCTGGTGGGGACTCTTAAGATTCCTGAGGCAGTGCAGTATGCTGACCATGCTAGCTCAAGGCTCTCTTCCTCTTCTTATAACACCACCAGTTCTCCTCCCTTGATAGCCATTAATCCATTAACACATTAATCTGTGAATGGATTAATCTATTCATTAACCTATTAATCCATTAATCCATGAATGGATTTATCCATTCATGAAGGCAGAGCCCACATGACCTAATCACCCCCACCAAAGGCCCCACCTCTCAACACTGACACACTGGGGACCCAGTTTCAACATGAGTTTTGGAGCGGACGTCCAAAACATAGCAGCCTCCTTTCACTAAAATGTATCTGTTCACTCATATTAACAGCTCTCTTCCTACCAAACTGGCTTCATCCAGGAGAGCTGTGTGCTTACGAAGAGTCAGCTGGCTTGTCCCTAAAACCGGTTATGCCCATTGTATTTATTATTGAAATTGAAACACTAAATTTACATATAATTTAAATAGTATATAAAGTGATTAAATGTGAATATAAAAGATCTGTTTCTGTGAAAGTTAAATGATAGAAATGAATTGTTAAAAAAATTACTATTGAATTAGGTTTGGATGGGACAACTGTAAAAAACAGGGAAAAATTATAAAAACTAAAAGAGTTCTGCATTCTAATGGCTTTCAAAGTGCCTAAATTCCATTCTACACTAAAAAGATTCAAACTGGAATGTGCAGAAAATGCCTTACAGGCATAGAGCAAACAAGTAAGATAACATAGGCTCCCATTTGTAAACCCAGTTGGGTCCCATGGTGAAAGTTTGGCAACTAAATGTTTAACATTATATGTTTTAAGTTAAAATGTTTTAGGTATGTATACATGAAGTTTTCATCAGCTTCTCAACTAGTCAATTACTCATCCTAATCACACCTCCAACACAGTCTGTCTATTCCTGATTACATCTGACTCCAAGTCCGTGACAAGTTTAAGTCCTTCCAGACATGGGTACTGAAATAACATTGCTGAAGTCACTTTAGCCTGACTTAATCAGTCACAAGCCATGCATTTCCAAAAATCTAATTTATGTTCAAAAGATGAAGCTGTGTCACAACACAAGATATTAAAAGAACTGTCCATATACCACTATCATATGAAGAGCTTCTATAGCTCAAGGAGTAAAAGACAAATCGTTTAATAGAAAAATGAGCCAAGGACAAGAACAAACAATTCACAAATAGCCAAAATACATGGAAACATGTCCAACCTCAGTAGTGGTAAGCACAAATTAACAATGAGATAGCGTGTATTACCCATGAGGTTCACGAAAGTTTAAATGACTGGTATCTGTTTCTGGTAACGTGTGGGGATCAAATTGCTGCCAGTAATTTCCCCTTTAGGTAACAGATACAAAAAAAACAGATACATATATAAATTTTTAAGTGATGGATTCTTTAATATTTTCAGACGCAGTTAGAAAAAAAAAAAACTCCCCCTCAGAAGGAAGGAAAAAGGCATGATTCTAAACTAAACACAATTCTAAAAGTGAAATTCCAAAAACATTCTGAGCAATGGCATCATCACTAGCATAAGTATATACTTTCTGAAGAAGGTTATTTTGAAGGACATCAGTGACTGGGATGATGCCTTCTGTTATGCTGGTTAAAATACCCTCCTTTGATTCTGCAGACAGCAGAGCAGTGCTCACGCCCTGGCAGGCCCGGCACACGGCTCCAGACCAGAGGTGTAGGGGGAGCCATGATGCTGAGCAACCAGCATCACTGTCTCCTAGACCTGCAGTTCTTCCCTACACCCTGTGTACAAGGCCTGCGTTGCACTGGGGTGGACAGCTGGCTGCTCGAATTCTTTGATCAGGGCACTGCTGTGTCTCTAGCTTCTCATGCTGAAAGAGACTTTTTGGTATTTGAGCCTAACGACACCCAGAACCTGGAATAAAATAAAGACCCACCTTCTCTAGAGGATCAGGGAGCCAAGGACATAGTGTTCTAGCTATACAATGAAATGCAGATTTCCCAATAAAAGGCAAAATTCTTCACTTCAGGAGGTTGAATAGGATGGAAAAGAATTCCAGCTGCTTAAATTTATGGCACTGAAAAAAGCCCTGTCTGAGAATAATTCTTGTGTCTGAGCCCAAGATGCTGTCACCTTGCCGTGGATCGTTAAAGTACTCAGTGTGCTCCCATCCTCAGAGCTGTGCCCTGAGACAGCCTAAATTGGTCAATAAACACAGTAGTTCTGTCTTGTTGCTTCTTCTTCTGAAATTAAGAATATTTTAGCTGAGCCAGTGTCAGAGTAAAATGCATAGGGGGCCATATTTAGGTAAAAACTGGTTAGACACAGGCCGGGCACAGTGGCTTACACCTGTAATCCCAGCACTTTGGAAAGCTGAGGAGGGAGGATCACGAAGTCAGGAGATTGAGACCATCCTGGCTAAAACGGTGAAACCCCGTCTCTACTAAAAATACAAAAAATTAGCCGGGCATGGTGGCGGGCGCCTGTGGTCTCAGCTACTTGGGAGGCTGAGGTAGGAGAAAGGAGTGAACCCGGGAGGCGGAGCCTGCAGTTAGCTGAGATGGCACCACTGCACTCTAGCCTGGGCGATAGAGCGAGACCCTGTCTCAAAAAAAAAACAAAAAACAAAAAAAAAAAACTGATTGGACACTGTGTGATTGCATGTTGAGATCATGAAAGAAAATGTCAATCATCCTCCTTCCTGCTCTATATTTGAAAAAGAAACTAGCCAAGCAGCCCCGAGGGCCTACCAAGATAAGCTCTGCAGCGAGACAGCTGGGTTCACACCCAGCACCATCGCTCACCAGCAATGCGCCTGTAGAAGCCTGTAGGTGTCTGTCCTTCAGATCCCTCATCTTAAATACAGAGGTACTAACAGAGCTCCCCTCATGGGGTCATCATAAGGAGAACCTTAGTTAACAGCTCTAAAGTGCTGCCCTCACAGTGAACACTCAAATATCAGTTATTACTGTTGGAAGGGAGAAGGTACTGGAGCTGGAGTAGACGCCAGAGGGCCTGAATGTCTAGCATTAGTGTAACAACCCTTGTAGAAAGCATTTATCCATATGACTCTGCCCAAGCTGTCTTTGGCCATTTACATCTGGCATATACCACATACCTCTTTAAGTGTGTCATTCACTAACTACATTGAGCTCCCGGTGGGCAGGAAAACAAGTGTCCTAATCCAGCACAGAGTCTCAACAGGTACCCCAGCAGGTACTTGACAAGTACTTAATTGACTCTGCTTCCTGCCTATATGGAGAGTGGACTGGACTCAAAATGTCAATCCTACAAACTCCATTTAAATGGGCTTTTCTAGAAGTGGGGCTAGATCAGGACATAGTCATCAAAACCAGGGATAGACATGGGTTTCTGTGGGCCATCTGGGCAACAATACACTTGAGGTGTCACCCCTTCCGCAGGCAGGAGTATCCTCATGCTTGCTGTCAGGGAGCTCTCTGTTCACTCAGAGCAGAAGCACCTTCCCTGCCCACTCCAGAGCTCCAGGCCCGTGGGGGCTCCATTGGAATCCGAGCCAGCAGTCAGTGCCCTTCCTAAGGAAGGCTCTAAGGCCATGCTGGCTCAGCGTCACCAGTCTGGGCTGCCTCCTGCACCACCTTGAGTATTTAGAGACCAGCTCAGCTCATGGTCCTAGCTTCTTACTGTAACTTCATGGCCATCTGTGCTAAAACTATGCAGTTACACAATTTAAACTGGAGAATCCTGTGTCCCTGTAGTTCATCTGTGTATTCAGCAAGTTTTCCTGAGGGTCTACTATATTTCTGGGCCTTGACCACATTCTTAAAATACTGAATCTTAAAATAGCTGACACACCATTATTGAGCTACTATTCTAAGTGCCTTAAATCCATTGTCTATTTTAATTCAGTGAGGTTGGTGTTATCTCTGTTTTACAGATGAGGAAAAATGAGGCACAGAAATGAAGTAACTTGCCTGAGATCACAGAGTGAGCTGCAAGGCCTGGATGAAGACCTGAAGCCAGGTCTGTCTAACAGAGAGTAGGCATCCTAAACATGATGCTTGCTGACTTTCCCTACCTCTACTTAATCTATTTATCTTCTCTGGCTTTATGACTCTTGCTCATGTCACCCTTACTACCTAAATTCAAAAGATTTAGACTAGCTGTATCTTGCCTATTTCATGACTCTTCTAGACCAGGATTGATATGACAGAGAACCAATCCCCTGATGCTAAATAAAAAAGGTGAAATCCAGGTTAGGCTTAATAACATCCCCTTTCAGCAGCCCCCACCTCCCTTCTCCCCTACTTGTTCTTCCAAGTTTTTCCGTCTTTTTTCTATCTTCTCCCCACTGTGCCCACTCAGGTATCCCATGGGCTCCCCAGCTCAATCCCAAACTGAACTCCCCTGCTTCCTGAATTCCCTACCAGGGCTTTACACTGAGCTGCCTGCACTCACGTTGAAAACCTGTCATCCACGTAAGAAGGGTTATTATAACACAGTGGTTTAAATACGGGCTCTGCATCCAGACTGCCTGGGTTCAAATCCTGGATCTGTCTCTGCCAGGTGTGGTTACTTAACCTAGCTCTGTCTCAGTTTCTTCCTCTGCAAGAGAATAAAAACAGTACCTAACAAAAAGGAAGGTGTTTTTGCAACAAATGGGGCTAGAACAACGGATATCCACAGGGGCAAAAAAGAAATCTTGATCCCTACTTCACACTATACACAAAAATTAATTTGAGATGGATGACAAACCTAAACATAAAAACTATAGTTATAAAGCTTCTAGATGAGAAAATGGTGATTATCTTGGTAATTTTGGGGGTGGTAAAAGTTTCTTTGGACACAGAAAAAAAAATAGCCTTGCCAAAAAAAAAAAAAAAAAAAGGTAAAACTTCTGCTCTAAGAAAGAAAATGAATAGGCAAGCTACAAATTAGAAAAACATGTTTGCAAATCACGTATCTGATAAAGAACTGGTATTCAGAATAAAAAATTCCTACAACTCAACAATAAAAAGACAATTCAAATTTTTAAATGGGCAAAATACTTGAATAATATTTCAAAAAGAAAGATACATAAATGGCCAATAGGCACATAATAGCGCTTAATATCCTTAATTATTAGGGAAATGCAAATTACAACTATAATAGGATACTGCCATAGCAGTATCCACAAGAATGACTAGAATTAAAAAGACTGACAATACCAAATGTTGATGACGATGTGAAGCAACTAGATTCTGATACATTGGAAATATAGGTGTATAAATGTGGAAACAGACACTTTGGCAGTTTCTTACAAAACTAAACATAGACTCATCTTATGACCTAGCAATTCCACTCCTAGATATTTACCCAAGAGAAATGAAAACATATGTCTACCCAAAAAGACCTATACAAAAATATTCATAGCAGCTTTATTCATAATAGCCAAACTGGAAACAACTTTTTTTCCAAAAACTGGAAATGGGATAAGTAAACTGTGGTATAGCCATAAACAAAATACTCTTTAGCAATTAAAAGGAACGGACTGATACACAAAACAACATGGATAAATCTCAAAAACAGGCCAAATGAAAGAAACATTAAGCCAAAGAATATATACCATACAATTTCATTTATGTGAAGTTCTAGGAGAGACAAAACAAATCTGTGCCTTAAATATTAGAATAATGGTTGCATCTGGAGGGTGGGGACAGAAATTGGAAAGAAATACAAAGGAATTCTGTAGGATGATGGTAATGTCCAAATCTTGAAAGGGGTTTGGGTTTCACAGGTGCATGCTTTTGTCCAAAGTCATCCAATGGTATGCTTAAGATTTGTTCATTTCACTATAAATAAGTTTTACCTCAAAAGAAAAAATAACGTAAACAATATTCAACTCAAGGTAATGGTATGCATGCTTAAGTATTTAGGGGAATGTACAATTTCCTAATGTCTGTGACTTAAACATATCACAAAAACAAGATGGACTGATTGACGATGGAAGGATGGACAGATAGGTGATAAAACAAATACAGGAAAATGTTAACTTTAGAATCTAGGTGGAGGGAATATATGTATTCACCATACATGTGTTTAAACTTTGCTGTATACTTGAAAATTTTTATAACAAAATTATAGAAATTAGTCCCTACAAAGTAAGAGTGTTCCTGGTGCTTTGGGAGGCTGAGACAGGAGGATTGCTTGAGGCCAGGAGCTTGAGACCAGCCTGGGCAACATAGTGAGATCCTGTCTTTACAAAAAGTAAAAAAATTAGCCAGGCACGGTGGCATGTGCCTGTAGCTCCAGCTACTCGGGAAGCTAAAAGCAGGAGGATCGTTTGAGCCCAGGAGTTCGAGACTGCAACCACTGCACTCTAGCTTGAGTGACAGACTCCATCTCTACATATATGTGATTGTTGCATCATCTTTTACATTCTCTTTTTTGTCACCTCTCACATGGGCCCAAACACCTGCTAACCTCACAATCACTCACATCCCTCCCCTTGCTGGCTTTCCTGCAGTTTCTAGCTTGGTTCAGGCCCTGGTTACATACCTGGATTTCAAATCTCTGTTTTGCCTATCTGTGGGGTTCCCTACTCCAATCTGGTTTGAATGTCACTGGCAAGTCAATCTTCCTAGTTCACAGCTCCTATTACATGTACTCTGCTGCTCAACAATATTTGATGACTCTTCATTAATGAATAATATCCATACTCAGTGTCCTGTAACAAGGCCCTTACATTCTAGCCTTATTCTGCCATTGTCCTAGGAAAATACAGAAATTATTAGCTATCATCAAACCAGATTACCAGTATTCCCTAACATACCATACAACTTCTATCTCCATACTCATGTCTCTTCCACAGGAATCTATTCCTAACCCACAGCTTTCAGCAGTGAAGAATATGAATGGAAACTGGTTAGAAAACTTTGGCCTTAATAGACAGGAGTTTCAAGTCTTCCTGTAGCTACTTAGCAGTGCTAAGCCAGCCACAGAAAACACCCATTCCCTGTGTTCGTGCATTCATTCACTTGCTTGCTAACTTGCTTAGTACTTATTGTGTGCCAGATAATGTGCTAGGTGCTTCAAAAAACAAACATGGCAGACTCTGTCCTGAAGAAGCTCCATTAGTGAAGAGTGAGGTAGAGAACAGGTATAATTCACCATAAGTCCTGATCTGAAGGTGGCAGATTTTTACTTCAGGTTAACTTTAGATTGAGACCGGTGAGAAAGTGGTAAGATTCTTGTGGCAGTTTTAAAACATGGTCTCAAAATCTTTGACACTCCTCCTACCAAGGTGCAGGCTTATGGCTGCTTTGATCAACAGAGTACGGCAAAAAGCAACACTATGTGACTTCTGAGGCCAGGTAATAAAAGACCAGGGAGTCTTCACCTGGCTCTCATGGAATGCTCCTTCTGGGAACACTTGCTCCAGAAACCCAGCCACCATGCTGTGAGGAAGCCCAAGCCACATGGAGAGGCCATATGTAGGCACTCTGGCTCCAGGTATCCCAGCTGAGCCCAGCCTTCAAGTTGTCTCAGTCTAGAAGCCAGGTGGTAAGTGAAGAAGCCTCCAAATGATCCAAGCCCCTAGCTGTTTGAGTCACCTCAGCTTTTCAGGTCTTCACAAGCCATTCCCACTGTGTCCTGTTCAAATTCCTGACCCACAGAACCCCAGAGCATAACAAAATGATTGTTGTCTTATGCCACTGTTTGGGAGAGTTTTCTCCCAGCAATTGATGACTGGAACAAACCCTGCAGAAATAGGTGCTACTTATGGCAGGACCCTGGGCAGTCTTGGCTAGGGGGCTGGAGCCAGGGAGGATTGAGACCTTTCAAAGAATATAACTGGTACACCCCCTTTAAATTTTCACCCAATTTATCAAGTTTACCACATCTTCATTTATTCAACAAATACGTATGGAGTGCCTGGTATGTGATAGGCATTATTTTAGAATTGGATAAAAATCCTTGCCCTCAAGGAGCTTACTGTTTAGTGGGAAAAACAGACAATTAGTGAGGAAAATACATAAAATGTAAACCATGTTGGATAGGGGATAAGTATAAGGAGAAAAATTAAAACTGAAAGAGGGGACATGAAATATCAGGATGAGGTTGAAATTTTAGAGAGGCCAGGAAAGGCCTCATGGAGAGGTGACTTGAATAAAGTCTTGTTGGAAAGACCTGGGATGGAAAATACCACATTGTCCCCTCCCCAGTACCCACCCATATCAGCTGCTCACACCTCGTCACCCAGACAGACCTCAGGACAACCCTTAGAGTCAAGGAGCTTGGGTGTCTCTAAAATGTTACCTCTCCTGTTAGAATTATATAATGCCAAACAGAAAGGGACGTCAGAAGCTATGCAGTCCCTCCCTCCTCACCCTTCAATGGGGAAACTGAGGCCATGGTGTTCCAGGTAGCCTGAGACTTAACCTGAGATCTGCATGTCTGCCCAGTCCCGTTATTTCTATGACTCCCCACTGGCTCCTAGAACACCCCTTTCCCTCGGTGGCTAAGCTCTTTCTGCTATGGCTGCATCATCCCAGCTAGAAGCACCTAATACTTATCAGTGACTAGTTTTGTGACAAATCCTTAGGGTAAGTGGGGCTGGGGAGGCCAAGAACAGAAGCAGCACTGGCCCCAGACAACTGTCCAGCATTCCCACCAGTGACACTACCACTGTCCATAATTTTCTCCACCAACAGCCCCATCCACGGTGTAGTCTGTGATATGAAAAATGGACATGTTCCATTTTCTCTTCCCAATCCATCTGTCATGGGTTGAAGTGTGTCCCCCCAAAAATCTTATTGAAGTCCTAACCTCTGGTACCTGTGAATGTGGCCTGGTTTGGAAATAGGGTATTTGCAGATATAATCAGGTTAAGATGAAGTCATACTGAATTAGGATGGGATTTAATCCAATGACTAGTATCCAAAAAAAAAAAAAAAAAAACCAGGAGGAAATTTGGATGCATTGGACGCAGACACACAGAGAGGAGGACATCATGTGAACATACACTGACACAGAGGGGAGAAGTCCATGTGAAGATGGATGCAGAGACTGGAGTGATACACATGCACCCAAGGAATGCCAAGGACTGCTGGCAGCCACTAGAAGCCAGAAGAGTCAAGGAAGGATCCTCCCAGAACCTTCAGAGGAAAGCTTGACTCTGTTTGAACCCCTGATTTCAGACTTCCAGCCTCTGGAGCTGTGAGAAAATGAATTTCCATTGTTTTGAGCCACCTGGCTGTGGTACTTTGTTACACAACCCAAACAAATGCATACACTCTCCTACATAAAAAGTCTGAAGCCACACATGGTTCCCATACAGTCTTCCTCCCTACAGTCCTCAGGTCCACAGCTCATAAGCAACTCCTGCCTCCCCCAACACCACTCCTTCTTATCTACCTGCTGTGTACATGCAAAGACTCCCACAGAGCCCTACAGAAAGTGAGTTGAGAGGTCAGCCATTCCTAGAGTTTTTAGTACAGTTTGCTGATTAGCCGGGTCCTATGTCTTGCTGTAGGCACAACCTAGTTTATAAAGTTTGGCTCCAACCAGTCTAGGATCTGTTGGTCTTTTTGAAAGGTGATAATTATAATCCTCAATGACTGATAAATGACTGGTATATGCCCTCTGATGGGCTGAGAGGTTGCACAGAAGTACCACCAGTGGGAGAGAGTTCACTCTCATGGGTCTAGTAGCAGCCTTTTAAATGGGAACCATCCTTCTAAAGGGCTAGTTGGCAATATGGAACAAAGGCAAAAAAAGAGGATCGTATCTTTTGACCTAGCAATGCTTTTCTTGGAATATAATCCAAGGAAATAATACAACAGAAAAAATAAACTATTTGGACAAAGATCATTATAACAGTGTTACTTATAATAGTGGAATTAAAAACTGAAAACATTAATTGTGGAACAATTAAAATAGAGTATCGTAATAATACCCAACATTTTCTGAGCACTTACTATGTGCCAGGCATTCCCCCAAGCACTTTGCTTGGATTCTCTCATCTAATCCTCACAAAAACTTTACAAGTTTGTTGTATTATCCCTGATTCTTTATAGATAAATAAACTTGTTCAAGGTCATACAGTGAGGAAGTAGCAAGTGAGCACTAATTTATACCCTGTGCTTAGTTTGACTTTATTGTGGCCACCTGATCTTGGACAAATTCCTTTTAACTTCCCTAAACTTTGGGCCATCAACTACAAAGTGGGAACAAGAACAATATCATAAGATTGACAAAGATTAAATGCAAAATGTACAAATAAACTGTAAAACATTATCCAAATGAGAAGTATTTATAGCAAAATAATAACTGAATATTTTATGTGGCAGGCCTAATTGCAGCCTATTTTACATGCCACGTTGAATAGCTGAAATTTTGTCTTTTAGGTAGCAGGGGATTAACATTGTTTTTAACCAGGGGTGTCACAATGAGATCTGTGTTTCAATACTGTTTTCAGGTACAATAATACAAGATTATCTCAGGGTGACAAAATTGGAACTTTATCTAGTTCTTGATCCTTAACAAGTTTTATGAGCTCTCCAGTAAAAGCCTTGGTCTGATTGTCCCAGAAGGCAATGAGGCCTCAGTCTGGGGTGAGCAGGGCGGCCTAGGAGCTGTAGTGCCCTTAACTCACAGACTCTGCAGGAAAGCAGGGTCCTCATCCCCTAACACGTGTGCAAAAGGGTCTTGAACCTTGTCAAGAGGAAAGCAGAAACCTCAGAACACATGAAAAGGTGGTGGTGTTCTGAAGGCAGTTGGAGGTGACTCTCCTCACTCCTCCCACACTGGGTAGTCATAAGGAGGGTTATTATTATCAACAGGTCCAAGAGGCCTTAAATTTTCCCATTAAATCCAAGGCAATTATGCAACTAATTCCTCTAAACCAGGACTGGCACAGCTCCAGGTTCCTATCCCAGTGAACCTGGCTGAACAATGAAAGACAAGAGGCCCAAACAACCTAAGGCATCATCCAGACCTAGGGTGGTCTTGCTCCAGAGCAGAATCAGAGGCTTGGCCCTTGAATCACCCCTCCCCATCTTTCAGCTCTGAAATATTCTAGGCAGGAAAAGGGGACCAGCACACCCTCTCCATATCCCAGTCTGCAAATGGATTCTCCCATGTTTTCAAGTCGTTTTGCACTTCTGTTGTCCACCACTCTGCTCACCTCTGTCAGCCCAGGAGAGAAAGTGAGGGACTTAACATACCCCTCACAACAATTCTGGGAAGTTGTTACATCTCCATTTTATAAGGGAGTGAACTGAAGTTCAGAGTAGTTAAATAATGTGCCCAGATTCACCCATCTAATAAGTTCTTGAGCTGGGATTGAAACCCAGGTCTGTTAGCTCCAGGACCTTCCCATCAACTGCCCACCCAGCCCTCCCAATCAATTAGGAAAATTGGCTAAGATGGACGATGAAATCTACCTGTGCAAAATCCATTTGTAATGCCTTGTCACATGGCTCTATCTAGTCCACACTCCACAGGCATGAAGGTCACTTAGGAGCCAGAAGGGCATGGACCCTCCTGCTCTGCCCCTTCCCACACACAGGCACACTCTTCTATAAAAGGATCTAGAAAGCCATGGTCCTGGAAAGGGGTCAATCAAGCCCTTTTAGAACACCAGCACTGGGCTGGCACCTGGAGGCCTGAATTCCTGAGCCTGCCAGCTATGGTGCCAACCACATCCCCCAGAAAAAGGACAGAGAGTAATTAGAAAGCAATGCCTCACAGACCAAACATGAGTCACATTTCTAAAAGAGTCTCAAAATGAAAGATCAGCCTGGGGCCTGCAGTGACAGCACTTGAGCCCAACTCCTCCACCCAACCTCCGTTTCTTCTAGGCTCCTGGGGGGACCAAAAAGGAAGCTGCAGCAGAGTACCACTGAAGGGCACAGGTGTTTCCACCCAGCCACAAAGGTTCACTAGCCATCTACCATATACCTGACAGGAGATCAGAGATGGCCCTATTGTGGCCCTACCCCTGAGAAGCTCATGGCTCAGTGACAATGCAAGCTGAGAAACAAAGACAGGGCCAGCACAGACCAGATGCTCTAAACCAAGTGGAATTTATCTCAAGAATACAACTTGTCTGGAACAGTTGAAAATCAATCAATGTAATTCACCACATTAGTAGACTAAAGCAGGTAGGTGTAGGCAAACTATGGCCCATGGGCCAAATCCAGCTTGTTGTCTATTTTTGTAAACCAGGTTTACTGAAACACATCCATGCCCATTCATTTACATGTTATCTACAGCTCCTTCCGTGCTCCAATGGCAGAGATGAATACCTGTGACAGAGATGGTATAGCCTGCAAAGTTGAAAATATTTTCTATCTGTATCTGCCTCTTTACAGAAAAAGTCCACCAGCTCCTGGTCTAAACTATTAGGAGAGAACCCTTTCATCCAACAAAACTGCAGGAACTCCAACTCCCTTTCCTCTCCTTTCTACAGACCATATTGGGAGGCAGATGAGCATTAGGGTCCTAGACTGTCAGGGTGGGAAGACCAGGCCACTGCTTCCCATGAAAGAAACAGTCCATGGTGTGACCGTTCGCCTCCTTCCCATTGGTCCCACCCCCAAGCAGAAGCCTCAGGGCTCCCTGCTGGTAAGGCTTTTACTAAAGCTCTCCTAATAAATGCTTAGAGGTAGGAAAACTGGTTCTACACCTCCATGTCCCCTTTCCCAACCCAACTGTCCCAGAAAAGGAGAACCCTAGAAATTATCAGAAAAGAAGAAAGGTCTCAAATCAATGATCTAAGCATTCACTTTAGCAAACTAGAAAAGGAAGAGCAACTGAACCCAAAACAAGCAGAATATATGATAAAGAAAAACCAATGAATCTGGAAACAAAAAACATTGAGAAAACTCAAACCAACAAACACCTGGTTCTTTGAAAGAACCAATAAAATTCACAAACTGCTAGCCAGATTGACCAAGAGCAAAAGAGAAGATACAAACTATAAATATCAGGAATAGAAAATGAGACATTACTACAATTCCTAAAGAAATTAAAAGGATAATAAGTTAATATTATGAACATTTATAAATATTCTGTCTTTTAGATTAAATAGACAAATTATCCCAAAGATACAAACTACCGAAAATCACTCAAGAAGAAACAAATAACCTGGACAGTCCTATATTTATTAAATAATTTAATTTGCTGTTGAAAATCATGCCGCAAAACAACTTCAGGCTCAGGTGTCACTGGCAAATTCTACTAAAACTTTCAGGAATAAATAACAACAGTTTTATGCAAACTCTTCCAGAAAATAGAAGAAGGAACACTTTCCAACTCATAAGGCTACCAATATACCCTGACACCAAAACCAGACAAAGACATCGGATCAATATCCTTCATGAATATAGACACAAAAAACTTCAATGAAATTGAGTAAACCAAATCCAGCAATATATAAAAAGATTAATAATATACCACAAGTGGAGTTTATTCTGGGAATGTAAGGCTGGTTAAACATTTGAAAATCAATTACTGTAATTCCACATATCAATAGACTAAAGCAAGGATCAGCAAACTATGACTGGGAAAACTATGACCAGCAGGCCAAATCCAACCTGCAGCCTGTTTTTGTAAATACAGCTTCCTGGAACACAGCCACATCCATTCACTTATCCATCTATTGTCTGTGGCCGCTTTCATGCTGCAATGGCAGAGCTGAATCACTGAGTAGAGGAGATTTATGAGAGTTGAGTAGAGAGTTGAATAAAGTACCTTATGGCCCACAAAGCCTAAAATATTTGTTATCTGGCTATTATGACCTGTTTTTAACTCCCAGAACACTTCTGACACCCAGCTATGTGGAGTTTTTTTCCTCATACCAACTGAATCTCTCTCTAGACACCAGCTGCGTCTTACAATCCAATTCAATGCTAACACTATCAACCTTGAGTTAGATCTAACCTTAGTGTTAGATCCTACAGCTTAAGGGCTCAGTCCCCAAGACTGCCCCCATTTCAGATCACAAGTCCTGGGCCCCTCTTATTTCTGACCAACCGACGATAAGTTAGGGATTCCCATGACCCCCTTCTTGGGTTTGATAATTTGTTAGACTGGTTTACAGAACTTGAGAGCCCTCTTTCCTTATATTTGCCAGTTTATTTTACAGGATACAATCTAGGAACAGCCAAATGGAAGAGATACATAGGACAAGGTATGTGAAAAGGAGCAGGGAACTTCCATGCCCTCTCCAGGCATTGCCAGCACCTTGCCAGCATCTCAGTGTGCTTAGTCAATTCCAAAGCTCTCCAAACCCCTTTGATTAGGAGTTTTTATGGAGGTTCCGTTACATAGGAATCACTGATTAAATCACTGGCCATTAATGATTTACTCAGTTTTCAGCCCTTCTCCCCTCCCCAGATGTTAGGGCAGGGTGTGCTGAAAATTCCAACCTTCTAATTACATGGTTGTTTCCTCTGACAATCAGCCCCCATCCTGAAGCTATATAGGGGCTCACCAAGTGTCACCTCACCAGCATAAACTCAGGTATGGTTGAAAGGGACTTATTATGAATAACCAAAGACATTCCTCTCACCACTCTCACTCAGGAAACTCCCAGGGTTTTAGAAGCTCTATGCCAGAAACTGAAAATAAAGACCAAATATATATTTATTATTTTTCTCACACTGCCCTTTGTGAAAAAGTTTGCCAACTCATGGACAAAAGAAAAAATATGATCATCTCAACAGATCCGTAAAAAGCGCCTGAACAAATCATTATTCATTCACGGTAAAGACAAAGAAAATCTAAGCAAATTAAAAGGAAACTTCCTCAACCTGATAAAAAGTATCTACAAAAAACCTATGACTAATATCATACAAGATGATAGAAGACTCAACACCTGCCTCCTAAGATTGGAAACAAGGCAATGATGTCTGTTTTCACCACTCCTGTTTAACATTATACTGGAAATCTTAACCAGCACAATAAAACAAGTAAAATAAAGGCAAAGAAATTGGAATTGAATAAATAAAACTATCTTTATTCAGAGATGACATGATTATCTATGATGAAAATCTCAAAGAATCTAGAAAAAAAAGCTACTAGAACTAATAAGTCAGTTTAGAAAAGTCAAAAGATATAAGGTCAACAAACAAAAATCAGTTGCTTAAAAATAATTAAAAAGCTCAGGGAAATAGTTAAGAGCAGATGAGGGCTGAAAATTGATTCTATATCCCAGCCTTTTAAATTGTTTAAGTTACACATTAGATTTAGCTAGCTACTAATCACATTAGATTTTCAAACTCTGCAAGTACACATTTTGCTGTACTTTATTCTGATTTAAATTTTTAAAAATCCATTAAAATACTAAATCAATTGTAGTTATAAATACTAGCAATGAACAATTGGAAAACAGAATTTTACTAAAAGTACCATTAAAAATTACACCAAAACATGAAATACATAGCTATAAACATGACAAAATATGTTCAATATGTATATGCCAAAAACTATAAAATATTGATAAGGAAATCAAAGATGACCTAAATGGAGAAATATAGTTTATTTATGTACTTAAAAATCCAACATTGTTAAGATGTCAATTCTCTCCAAATTGACTTATAGATTCAATGCAATACCAACAGACTTCCATCAGGAATTTATGCAGATGCCAACAAGATGATTCTAAAATTTATATGTCAGGCCAAAAAATCTGTAATAGCCAAAACTATTTTGAAAAGAAAGAACTAAGTTGAAGGGCTCAAATTTCCTTACTTCAAAACTTACAATAAAGCTACAATAATCAATACAGTGTGGTATTGTTGAAAGAATAAACACATAAATCAATGGGACAGAATACTCAGAATAGACCACACATACATGCTCAACTGATTTTCAACAAAGGTACAAACACAATTCAATAAGAGAAGGATAATCTTTTCATTGTGGTGCTAGCACTATTGGACATTCATATGCACAACAGAATCTCTATCTATACCTTACATCATGTATAAAAATTAACTTAAAATGGATCAGAACTAAATATACAACCTAAAAATGTAAAACGTCTTGAAGAAAGCACTGGAGAAAATCTTAATGACTCCACATTAGGTTAGTATTTCTTAGATATAACAGCAAAAGCATAACACATCTTTAAAAATTGATAAATTGAATTTCATCACAATTAAAGACTTCTGTCATGCAGTAACAGGCATTGTTAAAGAGAATGAGAAGACAAGCTACAGGCAGCGAGAAAATATTTGCCAAACACGTACCCAATAAAAGATTAATGTCCAGAATATATAAAGAGCTCTCAAATCTAAATCATAAGGAAACAAACAATCCAATAAAACTTGGGCAAAAGACTTAAACAGATACTTCACCAAAGACAATATATGTTTGGCAAATAAGTACAAAGATGTTCAACATCAGTAGTCACTAAGGAAATTCAAATTAAAAACACAATATGATAAAACTATACCTATTAGAATGTCTAAAATTTTTAAAATCTGACAATACCAAGTACTGACAAAGATGTGGAAAATATAACCCTCATATATTACTACCAGGAATGCAAAATGGTACAGCCACTTTGGAAAACAGTTTGGTATTCCATTACATTTACCATACCTCCCAGAAACCCCAATCCTAGATATTTACCCAAGTGAAATGAAATCTATGTTCACCTAAAAATCTGTTCACAAACATTGATAGTGAGTTGTTCATTATCACCTCAAACTGGAAACAGCCCAAATGTCCTTCAACTGGGGAATAGGTAAACACACGGTGATACGTCTTTACAATGAAATAATACTCAGCAACAAAAACGAATAACCTATTGATATACCCACCACCATGGATGAATCTCCAACACATTAATGCTAAGTGAAAGCAGGCACACTAAAAAGCCTACAAACCATGACTCCATTTATATGACATTCCGAGATAGGAAAGAACACAGGGAGAGAAAGCAGATCAGTAACTGCCAAGGTCTGCATGGTGGGAGAGCAGACAACAAAAGCTCACAAGGCAATTCTGGGAGGTGATGGAGCTCTTCTGTATCTCAATTGTGATGGTGCCTATATGACTATATATACATTTGTCAAAATTCAGAACTGAACTTCCTCATAATTATGTATTAATTGTTCAGAATTGTACATTAAAACAGGTGAATTTTACTGTATATAAATTATATCTACTTTTTTACATGAGAAAGAAAAAGAGTCTTCAAAAAAACCTATTATGATGCAGCATTGAAAAGAAAAGTTATTGTGTACCTGGGAAAATGCTGATCATTTGTCAAACAATGGAATAAAAAGACAGTAGAAACTGCCAAATTTACCAGACCAGAATACACCGAAACTAGGAAAAGTTGGTGTGACTGATTTATGTGCAACAGATGATCAGGTAGATACTGAATATTTATTTTTTTCAAAGTTTCCAGTTAACTTTTAGAAAAAGATATCTAACTTTTAGCAATATTACTTATAGAAAAGCTAGAACTCAAAATTTAATCTAAAGAATACATAGACAAAACCCTGGTAGACTTTAATATTCCTCAGACTTATTCTGTCAATCCTAAAGGTGCCAAAAATGTCAAAATTGTGGGCACATACAAAACTGGCCAAGGGAAGCAAAGACAATTAATAGTTCAATCTCACTTAGGACTACAGATGTAAAAAACCAAAATAAAATATTAGAAAATCAAAGTCACTGGGGTATTTTTTTTTTAAAAAAACTATACATTATGACTAAGTGTTTATTCCAGGAAGGCAAGAATGCATCAACATTCAAAAATCATGAACACAGATTATGAAAAACAGCATTTCACCTTGAAATCATATGTAACTCTGATAGATTATATCAGTTATCACATTATCATAGTTCAGAAGGATCTTTATATTTTGATTATAATGATGAAAAAACTGGTATGCAATTTCAAAAATTAAGGTATATTGTAATTTAGAAACTTTTCTAAAATTGTCTATATGAAAGGAAGTGCTTTTTCCTGAGAAACTATAAAGTGATACGAATCTTAGTGGCTATAATTTGGAATAAAGAAAATATAAGAATCCATCTTTTATCATGCTATTACCTTTATTTTTTCTCTTCAGCTGGCCCGAATTGGTTTCTGTTAATTTTGAAGAATCCTTCCTAATACACAAATCAAAGAAATAATAGAAACAATTACATAGTGAAACATCAAATCAGGTTGACATCACAAACATCTGGAAAGCTTTGTTAAACCAGAGATTCCCTGACCCCACCAAGGTAGTCTGGGCTGGGACTGGGGAGCCATAGATTATTTTTCAAACAAGGTTCCCAAAGAGATTTTGTTATCAGCCAGTTCTGGAACCACTGCTATGAGGAAACAGAGGCATTAACATGTCCTTCCCTTGATGTTTTTTCAGTATAGTTACAGATATAAAATTTTAGCATGAGAAAAATTAAACAAATGATAAAAACATACCATAATAATTTATGACTTGTCTCTGTAAAAAGAATTTTACAGGGACTTATTTCTAGAGAAGTTGAGGCTGAAAAGGTCAGAGGCAGCCTCTGGGGGCAGTATCTGACAGTTATTAGGAACTTAACTCATTCCCTGAACAAATGTTTAAGGATAGAAGAACCTGTCAATCAAACAGACAAGTGAAGAATATTCCAGGTGAGGATGAACTCACAGTCACAGTCAGAGACACAGGAAAGTATCAATTGGGCTGAGACAAGAAGTCTGGTTGTAGTGGGATCAAGGAGTGTGGGGGTGGCTGCTATGAGACTGGGCTTGGAGGTCAGATTATAGAGGCCTGTGAATGGCTTAAGGCTGTTCTGTGTGAAACAGGGAGCCACCGGGGGTTCCTGAAGGTGGTGACACAGTCAGACTATGTTTTAGATCAACAAAGCAATCAAGTGTACGATGTATTTGGGCTACAGAGAAGCCACAGTTAATACTCCAAGTGTGAGCTAGTACGGTCTGGTCAGGAAAAAATAGTAATATCAAAGTAAAACCAAGTGTTTCTCTGCCTGGGATAATCAGCAGGCCCACAGGGGAGGAGCTGAGTCCCTAGGTGCCTGCCCAATCACAATAAGAAGCCTGAGAACTCCCTAAAACATACTATTGGGTAACATCAGTAGCAACTGCGTTGATTGTATCATGTATACCATGAGTGACTATTGGAAAGGCAGGAGCTTTTGATAGTAATCAGAGGCAGGTTGCAAGATAAGAACTGTTCCTCCAGGCACGTTCTAAAGCCACCTGCTGCTTCCTCATGAACATACTCGTTTCCACAAGATCAGCAACCAAGTGATTACGAAAATGATCACCCTGTTGACACTAATAGGAAAATACCAAATGGAAATTTAACTTGGACAATGGGGAAGTTTAGGAATACATCTGCTTGAGTCATGTTCTGTGAATGGACTCAGTACTTGGCTGGAAAGATGCATAAAGCTCAGGAGAAAAGTTAGAATGAAGTATACCTAGCCCTACAGAAGACATAACTGAAGAAGTGAGGTGAATGAGTGGAAAGTGCCTTCTCATGGAGTGGCACACAGCAAATCCCTTAGAATCTTCTCTGAGCACCTCCATTTACCCCATTAGCCAGTCCTTCCACCCAGATGTACTGAGCACCTGTGGTGTGTCAGGCACCAGGCTATGAGTAAGGATACAAGATGAACCACAGCTGGTGACCTCCAGGAGCACAGTGCCTAGCAGGACACTACCCTTACGACCACAGCACAAGCACAGGTTGCCAAGCACGTGTTCATCTGCCTACAGCCTCATCAGATGAGTAGAGAAGGGCTTCTCTGTCCATTTAAAGGTGCACAATCTGAGACCTGGAGATACCACGTCACATAGCAGAAGACAGTGCTGAAGCTAGCCCCCAAACCCGGGGCATCTTCCTGGTGTTTCCCACAGCCTCAGATGACATTCCATGTAGTCTGACCCCAGGAAAGGGGAACAGCACTCGGTATCCAGGGGCCCTGAAGCAGACAGATGGCAGTGATCACAGGCCAGATAAAGGTAGGACATTCACTCCTGCTCCCCATTGGACCCTCAGACTAAAGAGGACAGCCTTAAAGGACTCTAGAGAAGCAGGTGGGCAGATGAGGGAACCAATGTGTATCCATTCTTCCTGCCTATGTCAGGCCGTTCACCTTCCTATGCCATCACCATCCTCCACCAGGATAGGTAGTGATGAGAACTCTGGCTGATGCTGGCTCTACTACTTGGATTTTTTTTTTAGACGAAGTCTTGCTCTTGTTGCCTAGGCTGGAGTGCAGTGGTATGATCTCAGCTCACTGCAACCTCTGCTCCTGGGTTCAAGTGATTCTCTTGCCCCAGCCTCCCGAGTAGCTGGGATTACAGGAGGCTGCCATCACACCTGGATAATTTTGGGATTTTTAGTAGAGATGGGGTTTCACCACGTTGGTCAGGCTGGTCCTGAACCCTGACCTCAGGTGATCCACCCGCCTTGGCCTCCCAAAGTGCTGGGATTACAAGCGTGAACCACGGTGCCCAGCCACCACTTGGCATCTTAGGCCAGAGTTTCCTCTTCAGTCCAATGCAAAGGTCAAGTGGACCTGACCCTTAGTCCTAACACCCTGTGATTCCAGAACTAGGAAGTGAGCTACAATATATGAGGCATGAAAAGAGAACACAAAGCCCCAGAAACCCAAAAGTCTTCTACGGGCCTCTGGGCTTTCACTCTGGCCACCCAATTGCCTCTTAATATTTTTGATCGAGTATAAAATAAAACAATTTCAGATGTTTCAGAAATATTATTGGCAGCAGAGGGAAAACAAGGCCAGAATGAAAACCACCCCCAAAATAAACCTCAGGACAAGCACACCTGCATGTTTGGGAGTGCGCTGCAAGGTCAAAGGTGTTGTGCCAGGGCCCAGCAAGGAAGGAGCTAACAGCCTTCAGACACCGGAGCCAAATGTTCCTGCCTTCCTCTCTCCTGGCAAATGCTTACCCTCCCTTCCTCCTCTCCATTTTTGAGGCCTTCCTGCATCACTCTAGCCCCTGAATTTCTTGTCATCCTTTAATTCTGTTAATGAAACTTGGAAATTGCATGTTGTCCCTGTTTTCTAATTACCTATGTGTTAGCTCTCTTGCTACCCACCCAGAGTCTCTTAGCATAGACACATTACCTTTGTTTTTTGTTGTTGTTGTTTGTTTGTTTCTTGAGACGGGGTCTCACACTGTCGCCTGGGCTGGAGTGCAGTGGCGCCATCTTGGCTCACTGCAAGCTCCGCCTCCTGGGTTCATGCCATTCTCCTGCCTCAGCCTCCCGAGTTGCTGGGACTACAGCCGAGTAGCTGGGACTACAGACGCCCGCCACCACACCTGGCTAATTTTTTGTATTTTTAGTAGAGACGGGGTTTCACCGCGTTAGCCAGGATGGTCTCAATCTCCTCACCTTGTGATCCACCTGCCTTGGCCTCCCAAAGTGCTGGGATTACAGGCGTGAGCCACCGTGCCTGGCCCACATTTACCTTTGTTTTATAAGCCTCTACAGAGCTCAATAGAAAGTAGACATCATTAGTGTCTGCTGGTTGATTTACAAGTCATTATATAGACCTGGAGAACACTGCCCGGTATATATAATAAAAGCTATTCTTTGTTTTGTGCCTATTTATATTCCTATATTCATTTAATTTTTATAACCGCCCTCATTGTCAGATGACAAAACTCAAGTCAGCTCACAGAGGTTAAAACCCATGCCCAAGAACACCCAGCCAGTAAGTGAATGGGATGGAACTGAACCCAAGTTTAACACCAAAGATCACATTCTGCCTGGCTGCCTCCTCCTGCCAGAAACCTGAATGAGACCTACTATACATCAGAAATCCTCATCTCTGAAAACAAGAAAGGTAAACAGCATCCTCAACTATAAAAGCCCCAAGTTGCAGGTGTTCGGTTCCCCCAAAGATTATGAGAAATAACCCATAAGGTCCTGGATTAACAAATTAGCATCAGATCTGAGCGCCCAGAGCCAAGGGAAAAAAAATCAAGAAGCAGGTCTGAAAGAAAAGGAAATCCTCTCCTCATCCCTTTTCTTTTGTCTCCAAAGGGGCTTTCTGTCTCCAGAGGGCTCTGCACTGAAGACCCAGGGAAGGAGAGGAGCAGAGGGTGGAAGGGGGGCAAGGAAGTACCAACAGAGGGGGGATGGGGACAACGTGGGAAATCTAAGAAGCTGGATCTACACAAAAATTTCCACAGCTCCCTAGTGGGGTGCCCATTCACCCTCAGACACTGAAGTACAGTGAGCAGGAGGGCAGGGAAAAGAAGGTGGTGGGAGCATCTGGAAACACAGCCTTACCTTCCAGCCCATGAGGCAGCAACTGTTGCTGGCTCTCCTCCTGCCCCAGCTGACTGGGCTGGCTGTCAGTAAATTTCATGGGGGCTGCAGCCCTCACACACCAGGTGCATGCAACAAGGAGGAGGGATGCACCTGTTGGCCCGCAGTGCAAATACGGAGGTCCACCCACCTTGAGTTTGTGAGGGGAATGCATTTGCTCAACCTGTTGGCATCAAACGAATGGAAAAGTGTGCAGCCAAAACTCAAGGAAGAATAAAGAGAATCCATCTGCAGAATGGTGCAGGTGGGAGAGGGGCGTGGCTTGTATGGGCACTGCTTCCCCGCACAACCATGTCTGCCTGCTTGTAAGGTAGGAGGCTGGGGGAGCACAGGGAAGAGATAGAAGTCACATGGCATAGGAGCTCATCACAGTGACATCGTTCTGTCCCACTCTGGCTCACTGCTGGACGGTTCCTTGATTCTGAGCACTCAGGCCACCCAATAGACCCTGCTCAGGCCTAAGCATCCACATGGACATTTTCCATGCAAATGGCCCTGCCTCATGTCCTCTGCATGCACCCTCTGCTGGCCAAGTTGAGCGAGGACATTGTCTTTTGTTGGGAAAGGATACTTTTTAAGTGTTGTTTCTAAATTTTACTACATTTGCTGAAAAGACAGGACAGGAAGCTTTTAAGAATGAACAATCTCCCAGCCTGTGTGGGTTGGTTTGAGCTGTGAGAGGTGCAGCTGGGCTTCCAAGTAGGCTTATATTTCCAGACTCCCAAGTATTGTTCTCAGAAAGATACTAAATAAGACACCCCATACTCATGGGACACTGTACCCATGTCCCCAAGCAAGGCTGCATTCTGAAACCCCCACCCCACCTTATGAACTTCCTAAAAGACAGACAAGCCAACTAGTTGTGTTTCAAACTCTAGGCTCATCTTATATTTTGAGGATAAAAGCAAGGGGTCATTCTCAAAGACACTGAGTATATGGTGACCCCAGCGCATTCACAATCTATGCCTCTGAGACCAGCAAAGATCTCCCTAGCCAGAGACCCAGAACCTTTCCCCACCCTTGGAACTCAAAGGCCTCTCCCCTCTGCACCATCTGGGTCACCTCCTTCTCTGACAAGCCTTCTCAGCAGATTACCCCCGCCACCTGCCAGCCAGGAGCCCCTCCTCTGCAGTGACTGTAGCTGTCTGTCTACCATTTTCAGGCAGCAGGTGGGGCCACCTGGCCTTACCAGTTAGCCTAGGAATGTTCCAAGGCCTAGTCTGCTCTGCATATGTTTTCTAAGATCTGGCCCCTGGGGAAGCAGCCCCTGATGAAGGGGTGAGCAAACCTCACACAAACAGCAACTACTCTGGCTGGGTGCAGTGGCTCATGCCTGTAACCCAGCACTTTGGGAGGCAGAGGTGGGCGATCACTTGAGCCCATTAGACTAGTATGGACAACATGGTAGGACCCCATCTCTACAAAAAATCCAAAAAACTAGCCAGGTGTGGTGGCACACACCTGTAGTCCCTGCTACTCAGGAGGCTGAGGTGGAGGATTCCTTGAGCCTGGTAGGTCAAGGTTGCAGTGAGCTGAGATCACGCCACTGTACTCCAGCCTGGGCAACAGAGCCAGACCCTGTCTCAAAATAAAAAATAAAAATAAAAATAAGACAAGGAAACATCTACAATGCTGCAGCTACCCTCCTCCTCAGCTAGCCAGTTATTACACAAAAGAAACTGAACATGGGAGATAAACCAGCATAAATGCTTCCCCACTGTGGGGTGGTTCTCCAAGCTCATGCTTAGCTGCAAATGAGGTCCAGCATCCTTTGTATCATCAGTGAACAATGAGACAGACCTGCACATCTTGGCAAAAAAAGCTCTTGTGCATGTCCCCAGAGTACCCGCTACCCAATCCAGCATCCAGAGTCCAACCACTCCGGACCCAGGACCAACTGCTCAGGTTCCTCCCAGACCCAAGGCTCCTGGCCCACTGAGAGTGGGAGAAAAAGGGGTAACCTCACTCTGGGCAGGAAGGAAAATTCCATGCTGCCCTAGAGCACTGTGGTGCCAGCAGCATCATCCTCCACAGTCCCACAGTGTGCAGGCGGGGAAGAGACTAAGAGAATCACGGAAGAGAGAAGGAGGTCAAGAATTTAAGAGAAAAGAAAACAGTTCTATTAGAACCCTAAATGCCTTGTAGGAACCTAGTAAAGTCACCAGATGCACCTACACTTCTCCCAGAGACTTGCATTGTTGATTCCTGATTCTTTGAAGTGTGGGCGGGGTTCCCCAAATGGTCCTCCTAAGCCCACCATCTGGAAATAATTTATTGATAAGTGCATTTTGACAAAAAGTATTCCATTCAGGTGGAGAAGAACACAGCCTCTCTTGGAAGGGGGATGCAGCTCCAGGGCAGGCTCTCAAAGGCTGTGGGGTGGGCGGGTCATTGCATATACTCTGGTCTTTGCACTTGGGGAGAGGAGGGATGGTAAAAACCAACGGCCTGAGGTCTGGCATCATGCCCACTGCCCAGGTGTTTCCCTACACCCACCCAGCTCCCTGAATCACAACAGCTAATTTTACTCCCTCTAGACTCTAGTAGAGCTGGGTCTTCTCCTTCTGGCTACGAAATAGAAAGTGCCCCGCACCCCAACACACACACCCCAATCTAAAAAAAATATATATCCTTGAAACCATTTCCCCATCAGCCCATCTTCACATCTGCAATGCCACTCCTAGAAATTCAGTCCTTTGGGTCTTGAAGGGTTTTAGTTCCATAAGTTCCAGGGAGGGGTCTACCTCAACCATTGACAACTCACATCTCCTGAGAAGTTTATCCAAAACTTTCCAACTGCAATCATCGGCGAACAAGGTCCCTCAACAATGGGACCCCAGTTAACGCGAAGGAGGCAGAGCGAGGTAAGGAGCTTAAATGAGGAGTATGGAGTAGGAACAAGTCTGCAAAGCCCGCGCCCCAGCTTCGCCTGGGATGGCCAGGTCTGGCACTCGCGGGCCGCCTTCCCCGCCCTACCTTCCCGGAATCACATTTGGGCTGGAAGGACCTTCACGTGGCACCCCCTTCCCAGAGGCCGTCACCGAGTCCTCTAGCGAGGGTCTGGGAGCTGGGAGAAGGGTCCGCTTCTCCTCCGCCCCTCAAATCAAAGGCACCCCCTTCGGATGATTCCTAGAAAGGCAATCGCATCAGTGTCCCCAAGCACTTCATCTCCCCAAAAGAAAACTCGTGCAGCCTGGCGTCACTGGGGTCGTCTCCTTACGCCCCTGACTCCTCGCCGCACCCCGGGGCCCCTCTCCATTAGGGGAGTCGGGAGGCACAGACGGTGGGGGTCCCAGCCCCCACCCAGAACTCCCACCCTCGGAGCCTTGACTTCCAGGGCCCGCGCCTGGACAAAAGCATGGGGCGGGCTCACTCACCCGCGCGGCGAAGGCGGCCCGGGAGCCGGGGCACCGGCGCTCGGCGGGGCGCCCCGGCCGCAGGCGCACAGCGCGGGCTCCGAGCTCGCTCAGCGCCCTGCTGCCGACCGGGCGGCGCGGGGAGCCCGCGAGGCGCGTCCGGGACTGGGCAGGGCGGGGCGGGGCGGGGCGGGGCGGGGGTGAGCGAACCGGCGAGAGAGAGAGCAAGTGGGAGAGCGGAGAGCGGACGCGCGCTGAGGAGAGCGAGTGAGAGCGCGGCGCTACGGGGTCAGGACTCAAACCACCCGCTCCAGCCCCCATGCACTGATTTGCATGACATTTGCATAGCGCTCGGGGAGTGGACCTGCTGCCCTTCCCGCCACGCCCACCCGCCTTCTGCCTCGGAGTCCGGAGCGGAGAATCCGCAGCCAAACCTAGCGCCAGACCCGGGCCCCCCTCGCACTTATCCTGCACCGCCCCAGTTAACTCCTCGCAGGCGGCGGTCAGCGGGCTGGTACTGTCTTGGTGCGTGTCTTAGTCCTACACTGGGAGACCTAGGCCTTAGGTCGGGGTCTGATGCTAGCTTCGTGAGCGTGCATGAGACACTGGCTGCCTCTGGGCCTCAGTTTTCTAATCTGTAAAATGAAGATGTCAGCGGAACCATGGGGCTAAAGTTTTAGTGCTGGAAGGTTGTCTATGTAGTTTTTTTCAGACATCCTCCAGTGGTGCAACTCAGCCCCATGGTTCCTCTGACATCCTCCCTTTGTGTGTGTTAAGAATCTCTCATTGGTTTGGAAGATACCTACAAAGTTCTTTAAATTAAAAAAGGGGAAAGGGGAGGGGGGGGAGGGGAGGGGGAGGAGGTGTTTCTGGTTTTGGCTTGCTTTATATTTAGTTTGCACCCAATATGAAATATTTTATAGCTTCTGATCTCTTCACTTGGACCTTCTTTTGTTTTTTTTAAAAAAACTGTTTACTGCAGGTTAAGGAGTGTTTTTAAAAATTTTTTAATTGTAAAATAAAACATAAATACAGAAAACCACAAAAAACAAATATATAGATATATAGACTAGTGAATTATTATAAAGGGAACATCCTTGTAATCACCACCTGGATCAAGAAATAGAACTCTGCCAGCCACCCCAGGAGCCTCTCCATGTGCCCTACCTCAATGACAACCCCCTTTCTCCCTCCTCCCAAAAGTAACCACTAACCTGACTTTCATGTAGTCACTTCTGCTGCTTTTGTTTTTCTTGGTATCTTCCAAGGGTGCACCTTACCCCTCCCCCCACTCTTTTTTTTTTTAATTTGATTTGCCTTTTCAGTCTTTTCCTTACAATTATTTGTTAAATAACTTAAGCCCTTGATCTGTGAGGTTTTCCAGAGTCTGGGGGTTGCACATTCATGAGGCAATTCAGCATGTTTCTCTGTCCTCTGTATTGACAGCAAGTTGGCAGCTGATCCAGGGTCTTCCTCAGACTGAAGTTTGATGTCTTTTGTAAGATTATAGATGGTTGTGTGTTCTTTTCTTCAAGAGGTACATGATCATGATGTCTGGTGTTTGCTCTTTTTTGAGGTTAACAGCCGTCGATGCTCAATTCCTAGATTCATTAATTAATTGAAGTTTGCAAAATCATGGTATTCTAATAATTTTGTTTTCATTTATTAGTTCATAAGTGGATAAGGAGATGCTTCCTCTCATCTACTATTTGATTACCCTGAGATAGGAAAGGCACGATGAATACCTGCTTTTTTTTAAAAAAATTACCCAGTTTTCAAGTTAAGGAATTGATTCTCTGTCATTCTTAGATTTCTTTAATATCATTATAAATTCATGAATTTAAATATATTTGATAGGTTTCCATCTACGATATTAGAGCTCAAATTGTCCCATCTTTGGCCAGTAGGAGCTTCTTCAATATGGCTCCTGGCTCCTTTTGATAAGATTCTAGTAGTCTTTTTTTTTTTCTCTCTCTCTCTCTCTCACTAGTGTGCAAAGAGCTTCAAAGACCCTAGAAGTCTTTGATAGCTTCCTTGCTATCTGATATGACAAGATGTTCCAGGCACATCTGTACATTTGCTGCCTCAAACCTGGAATCAGCCATTTCTCCAAGAAGCTCTAGTTTTTTTGTTTTTTCTTTCCTTCCTTCCTTCTCTCTCTCTTTTTCTTTCTTTTTTTCTTTCTTTCTTTCCTTCTTTCCTTCTTTCCTTCTTTCTTTCTTTCTTTTCTTTCAGATGGAGTCTCACTCTGTCACCAGGCTAGAGTGCAGTGGCACGATCTCGGCTCACTGCAACCTCCACATCCCTGGTTCAAGGGATTCTCCTGCCTCAGCCTCCTGAATAGGTGGGATTATAGGCACGTGCCACCACACCCAGCTAATTTTTGTATTTTTAGTAGAGACGGGGTTTCATCATGTTGGCCAGGATAGTCTCAATCTCTTGACCTCGTGATCTGCCCACCTCGGCCTCCCAAAGTGCTGGGATTACAGGCATGAGCCACCCCGCCTGGCCAGAAGCTCTAGTTTCTTTTGTTGAAATTTTAAGATAACAATATGAGCACTAGGAGTATTCATTGTTACTAGGTTGGTAACTGTTTCTAGGCCTTTTCAATAGACAGAGCTACTAAAGAATACTTCATTTTTTTATATTCTAGAGAAATATTATTCTTCATAATATTTTCATCAGTTTATATTATTTCCAATTTAATTTCAGGACTGTAGTTTTTACTTAACATATATTACATTAGGACCTCTTTTCTTTCATGTAGAGAATTCTGGTTCTCAAGGACAAAAGGGAGGATGAAATTAGAATATCCCAATTTACTAATTTGCTTTAGTTTGCATTAAACATATAATAATAATCTCAGAATAACAATATTAATACTACCATCATCAGTTTTGATTCTTGAAAACAGTTTTTTTTGCATATGCTATCCATCTTTTATAGTTATACTCTATCTAAATTATCAGCTTCTATAGCCATCTATACCATAATCTTCCTATTTAACCCTAATTTAGTCTTAATTTTACAGTTCTACAATTCTAATCCTAATTAAAGTTCAAATATATATTTAATGCTTACCATTAGTTCCTTATGTTTATGTATCTTTAGTCATTTTGGTTGTCTGAAAGCTTGTCCTCTACTAGATTCCTTAGGAAGGGCTCATGGAAAGAATATGCTCTGAGTTCTTGCATGTTGCTTACAGTTTGTTCATGCCATTTTACTTGAAGGTCAATTTTGTTGGATTCAAACTACTTGGTGTCTTGGTCCAGCTGGGTTGCTATAACAACAACAACAAAAAAAAAAAACACAAAATAAGTGGCTTATAAACAAGAAACATTATTTCTTATAGTTCTGGGGGCTGGGAAGTCCAAGATCAAGGCTCCAACAGATTCAGTATCTGTTGAGAGCCCTCTTTCTGGTTTGTAGACGGCACCTTCTCACTTTGCCTAGATGCCCAAATAACTTTATCTTTTTCTTTCAAATCCAGTAATTTTATTAGAATGTTTGTTGGTCATTCTAGTTTGAAAGTAAACAGTGTGTATTTCTTTCAAAATGTGGTTTCAAATACATATATTTTGTTAATTTCAGGAAAATTTTCTTCAATTAAAGTCTTAAATATTTGTTCTGTTTTGGATTGCTTTAGACTGCTTCTCTGGAGACTTCTATTATCTGCATATTGAACCTTTTTTGTCTATCTTCAACATTTGTCACTTTCCCTTAAATCTTTTTAATTTCTTTCTTCATTTGTTTTTAAGTTTATAAATTTCCCTCCTTTTTACCTTATTTTCTTTTAAGTTTTTATTAGTTATATTTATGTGTTCTTGTGTTCCTTATAGGTCAATCTTTATTTCTCAAATGCTTTTTAAAATGTTTAATTCCAAAAAAAAATAAAAAATAAAACGTTTAATTCTTCTGTGAGTTCTGTTCTAATTTCTGAGTTTCTCTAATTCTGATGTATGTTGTTCTTTCATGTTTCATGTCACTCAGTGTGTATTAGCTTTTCTAGGACATTATAGCTTTAATTTTTTTGAGAATATCTTTCTGGAGGTTATTATGATCTTTATTCACTTTGTTGTAGTAGCTATATGAGAGTTGACCTTAGTATTTTTTTTGTTGATCATTTTTACATGAATTTTGTTTTCTTGAACTTTTAAAAGGAGATTTGGTCCAGACAGTTTTTCAAACTTCACAAAGCTTTCCCGTTTGTTGTTTCTGAGTAGTGTCAAAAAATATATATGGTGGCTGGACTTCTAAGATTTCCTGGCTCTGTTTCCCTCACTCACTTTTATCTGGCTCTTCTTTTTCTTTCAACTTGCATTAGTCAGTTTTCACACTGCTATAAAGAGCTACCTGAAACTGGGTAATTTATGAAGAAAAGAGATTTAATTGACTGACAGTTCCTCAGGCTTAACAGGAAGGATGACTAGGGAGCCTCAGGAAACTTACAATCATAGCAGAAGGTGAAGGGGAACCAAGTGCTTTCTTCATATAGTGGCAGGAGAAAGAGAGAATGCAGGGGGAAGTGCCATACACTTTTAAACCATCAGATCTTGTGAGAACTCACTTATTATCATGAGAACAGCAAGGGGGAAATCCACCCCCATGATCCATGATTTAATCACTTCTCACCAGGCCCCTCCTCCAATTCAACATGAGATTTGGGTGGGGACACAAATCCAAATCATATAATTCCACCCCAACCCCTCTCAAATTTCATGTCCTGCTCACATTGCAAAATATAATTATCCCTTCTCAATAGTCTCCCAATCTTAACTCATTTCAACATTAACTCAAAAATCCACAGTCTAAAGTCTCATCTGAGACAAATAAATCCCTTCTGCCTATGAACCTGTAAAATCAAAAACAACTTAGTTACTTCCAAGATGCAAGGGGGATATAGGCATTGGGTAAATGCTACCATTCCAAAAGGGAGAAATTGCAGCCAGGTGCAGTGGCTCACACCTGAAATCCCAACAATTTGGGAGGCCAAGGCAGGTGGATTACTTGAGGTCAGGAGTTCAAGACCAGCCTGGGCAACATGGTGAAACCCTGTCTCTACTAAAAATATTTTTAAAATTAGCCAAGTGTGGTGGCACGTGCCTGTAATCCCAGCTACTTGGAGGCTGAGGCAGGAGGATTGCTTGCACTGAGGAGGTAGAGGCTGCAGTGAGCCAAGATCGTGATACTGCACTCCTGTCTGGGCAACAGAGGGAGACACAATCTCAAATAAAAAAAAGGGAGAAATTGACCAAAACAAAGGGGCTACAGGCCTCATGCAAATCCAAAACTCAGCAGGGAAGTCATTAAATCTTAAAGCTCTAAAATAATCTCTTTTGAATTCATGTCTCACATCCAGGGCATGCTGATGCAAGGATGCTCTTCCAAGTCCTTGGGCAGCTCCACCCCAGTGGGTCTGCAGGGTATAGCCCCTGTGGCTACTTTCACAGGCTGGCATTGAGTGCCTGCAGCTTTTCCAGGTGCATGGTGCAAACTGTTGGTGGATCTACCATTCTGGGGTCTGAAGGATGGTGGCCTGCTTCTCACAGCTCCACTAGGCAGTGCCACAGTGGGGACTCTGTGTGGGGGCTCCAACTCCACATTTCCCCTCCACACAAACCTAGTGGAGGTTCTCCATAAGGCCTCTGCCCCTGCAGCAGACTTCTGCCTGGACACCCAGGCATTTCCATACATCCTCTGAAATCTAGGTGGAGGTTCATGAATTAGTCCATTTTCAAGCTGTTGATAAAGATATACGTGAGACTGGGAAGAAAAAGAAGTTTAATGGACTTACAATTTCATATGGCTGGGGAGGCCTCACAATCATGGTGGAAGTCAAGGCAGAGCAAGTCACATCTTACATGAATGGCAGCAGGCAGAGGGAGGGCTTGTGCAGAGAAACTCCCATTTTTAAAACCATCAGATCTTGTGAGACCCATTCACTATCATGAGAACAGCACAGGAAGGACCCATCCCCATGACTCAATCATCTCCCACCAGGTCCCTCCCACAACACATGGGAATTATGGGAGCTACAAGATGAGATTTGGGTGGGGACACAGAGCCAAACCATATTATTCTGCCCCGGCATCTCCCAAATTTCATGTCCTCACATTTCAAAACCAATCATGCCTTCCCAATAGCCCGCCAAAATCTTAAATCATTTCAGCATTAACTCAAAAGTCCACAGTCCAAAGTCTCATCTGAGACAAGGCAAGTCCCTTCCACCTATAAACCTGTAAAATCAAAAGCAAGTTAGTTACTTCCTAGATACAATGAAAGTACAGGCATTGGGTAAATATGGCCATTCTAAATGGGAGAATTTGGCCAAAATAAAGGGACTATAGGCCCCATGCAAGTCCGAAATCCAGCAGGGCAGTCAAATCTTAAAGCTCCAAAATGACCTCCTTTGACTCCATGTCTCACAACCAGGTCACACTGATGTGAGAGGTGGGTTCTCATGGTCTTGGGCAGCTCTGCCCCTGTGGCTTTGCAGGATGTAGCCTCCCTCTTGGCTGCTTTCATGGGCTGGCATTGAGTGTCTGTGGTTTTCCAGGCGAATGGTGCAAGCTGTCAGTGGATCTACCATTCTGGGGTCTGGAGGACAGTGGCCCTCTTCTCACAGCTCCACTAGGCAGTACCCTAGTAGGGACTCTGTGTCGGGGCTCTGACCTCACATTTCCCTCCCACACTGCCCTAGCAGAGGTTCTCCATGACTTCCCTGCCCCTGTAGCAAACTTCCACCTGGGCATCCAGGCATTTCCATACTTCCTCTGAAATCTAAGTGGAGGTTTCCAAACCTAAATTTTTTACTTCTGTGTACCTGCAGGCTCAACACCATGTGGAAGCTGCCAAGGCTTGGGGCTTGCACCCTCTGAAGCCACAGCCCAAGCTCTATATTGGCCCCTTTTAGCCAGCTGGAACAGCTGGGACACAGGGCACCTAATCCCCAGGCTGCACACAGCACAGGGATCCTGGGCCTGGTCCATGAAACCACGTTTTCCTCCTAGGCCTCCTGGCCTGTGATGGGAGGGGCTGCCACAAAGGTCTCTGACATGGCCTGGAGACATTTTCCCCATTGTCATGGGGATTAACATTTGGCTCCTGTTACTTATGCAAATTTCTGCAGCAGGCTTGAATTTCTCCTCAGAAAATGGGATTTTCTCTTCTATTGCATTATCAGGCTGCAAATTTTCTGAACTTTTATGCTCTGCCTCCCTTATAAAACTGAATGCCTTTAACAGCACCTAAGTCACCTCTTGAATGCTTTGCTGTTTAGAAATTTCTTCTGCCAGATACCCTAAATCATCTATCTCAAGTTCAAAGTTCCACAAATCTCTAGGGCAGTGGTAAAATGCTGTCAGTCTCTTTGCTAAAACATAACAAGAGTCACATTTGCTCCAGTTCCCAACAAGTTCCTCATCTCCATCTGAGACCACCTCAGCCCGGATTTCATTGTCCATGTTATTATCAGCATTTTTGTCAAAGCCATTCAACAAGTTTCTAGGGAGTTCCAAACTTTCCCACATTTTCCTGTCTTCTTCTGAGCCCTCCAAACTGTTCCAACCTCTGCCTGTTACCCAGTTCCAAAGTTGCTTCCACATTTTCAGGTATCTTTTCAGCAGCACCCCACTCTGCTGTTACCAATTTACTGTATTAGTCCATTTTCACAATGCTAATATGCTAATAAAGACATACCCAAGACTGGGAAGAAAGAGAGGTTTAATGGACTTACAGTTACTCATGGCTGGGGAGGCCTCACAATCATGATGGAAGGCAAGGAGGAGCAAGTCACATCTTACATGGATGGCCGCAGGCAAAGAGAGAGCTTGTGCAGGGAAACTCCCATTTTTAAAACCATCAGGTCTCGTGAGACCCACTAACTATCTTGAGAAAAGCACAGGAAAGACCCGCCCCCATGATTCAATCATCTCCCACTGGGTCCCTCCCACAACACATGAGAATTATGGAAGCTATAAGATGAGATTTGGGTGAGGACACAGAGCCAAACCATATCAGTTCCCAAAAACTCAACTCTTGCCTTCTGTGCACCCCCAGGCCCAACACAACATGGAAGCTGCCAAGGCTTGTGGGTTGCACCCTCTGAAGCAATTGTCTGAGCTGTATCTTGGCCCCTTTTAGTCACAGCTGAAGCTGGAGCAGCTGGGACTCAGGGTGCCATGTCCTGAGGCTGCACAGAGCAGCCAGGCCCTAGGCCTGGCCCATGAAACATTTTTCCCTCCTAGGCCTCCAGGCCTGTGATAGGAGGGGCTACAGTGAAGGTCTCTGAACTGCCCTGGAGACATTTTCTCCATTGTCTTCAATATTAATATTTGGCTCCACTCATGCAAATTTCTGCAGCCAGCTTGACTTTCTGTCCAGAAAATGGGTTTTTCTTTACTACCGTATGGTCAGGCTGCAAATTTTCTAAACTTTCACAAGAACAGCACAGGGGAAATCCACCCCCATGATCCAATCACCTTCCACCAGCCCCCTCCTCCAATTCGACATGAGATTTGGGTGGGGACACAAATTCAAACCATTTCACAACTCTTCCCTGTCATGTTAATTTTTTCACTTTTTTATTGTAGCAAAATATACATAACCCAAAATTTATAATTTTAACCATTTTTTTTTTGAGACGGAGTCTTGCTCTGTTGCCCAGGCTGGAGTGCAATGGTGTCATCTCGGCTCATTGTAACCTCTGCCTCCCAGTTTCAAGTGATTCTCCTGCCTCAGCCTCCCAAGTACCTGGGACTATAGGTGCGTGCCACAACACCTAGCTAATTTTTTGTATTTTTAGTAGAGATGGGGTTTCACCACATTACTCAGGATGGTCTCAATCACCTGACCTTGTGATCCACCCACCTTGGCCTCCCAAAGACCTGGTATTACAGGCATGAGCCACCGTGCCCTGCCAATTTTAACCATTTTTAAAGTATACAATTTAGTAGCATTAAGTACATTCACCATATTGTGTAACTATCTATTTCCAGACTTTTGTCATAATCCCAAACAGAAACTTTGTACACATTAAGCAACATCTCCCATTTCCTCTTCCCTCCAACACCTGGTAACCTTTATTCTACTTTCTGTCTCTATCATTTTGCCTATTCTAGATACCCCATATAAGTGTAATCATATAATATTTATCCTTTTGTGTCTGTCTTATTTCATTCAGTGTAATGTTTTCAAGGTTTATCCAGGTAGAATATATCAAAACTTCATTTTTTTATAGCTGAGTAATATTCATATCTAGCATTATTTTGTTTATCCATTCTTCTGTTAATGGACATTTGGGTTGTTTTTACATTTTGGCTATTATGAATAATGCATAATATGAATATTGGCATATGAGTATTGTTTGAATGACCATTTTCAATTCTTTTAAAAATAAAACATACTTAGGAATGAAATTACTGAGTCATATGTCTATTTTTTTTAACTTTTTTGAGAAACCACCGAACTGTTTCGATGGCTGTACCATTTTACATTCTCACCAGCAATGCACAAGGGTTCCAGTTTTTCCATATTCTCATTAATATATATTATTTTCTATTTTTTGATAGTAATAAACTTAGCAGGTATAAAGTGGTAGTCCATTGTAATTTTGATTTGCATTACCCTAATGACTAAAATTGTGGAGCATTGTTTTTGAGTATCTTCTTTGGAGAAACGTCTATCGAATTCCTTTTCCCATTTTAAAATTGGGTTGTTTTGTTATTAAATTGCAGGGTTCTTTACATATTCTGACTATTAATCCTTTTCTAGATATATGATTAGCAAATATTTTCTCTCATTCTGTAGGTTGCTTTGTTGTCTATGTTATTGATGTCATACCAAAGAAACTATTGCTAAATCCAATATTTCATAAAAATTTTCCCTATGTTTTCTTCTAAGAGTTTTACAGTTTAGCTCTTAAATTTAGGTCTTTCATCCATCTTGAGTTAATGTTTGTACATGGTATAAGGTAAGGGTCCAACTTTATTCTTCTGCATGTGGATATCCAGTTTTCCACCACCATTTGTTGAAAAGACTGTTGTTTACCCATTGATTTCAAACCTCGTTGAAAATAGGCTGACCATATAATGCAAGGGTTTATTTCTAGACTCTCCATTCCATTGGCCCATATGTCTGTGCTTATGCCAGTACCACACTGTTTTGATTACTGTAGCTTTGTAGTAAGTTTTGAAATCAGGAAGTATGAAACCTTCAATTTTGTTGTTCTTTTTCAAGATTGTTTTAGCTATTGGGGGCTCTCTGAGGTTCCATATGGGTTTTAGAATGGGTTCCTTTTATTTCTGCAATAACATTGGGATTTTAATAGGGATTGCATTGAATCTGTAGATCACTTTGGGTAATACTGTCATCATAACACTATTGTCTTCCAATGCATAAACACAGAATGTCTTTCATTTATTTATGTCTTCTTTAATTTCTTTTTAGCAATAAGTTTTCACTGTACAAGTCTTTCACCTCCTTGGTTAAATTTATTCCTAAGTATTTTATCCTTTTTGATGCTATTGAAAATTGAATTGTTTTCTTAATTTCTTTTTCAGATTATTTATTGCTAACATACTTAAATATAACTGATTTTTGTAAGTTGGTTTGTATCATTTCCTATTATGTACATTTTATTCCACTTCTAAAAATTTCTCCTTAGTTTGGAGTCTCGTTCTAAAAAGGAGCCTGAGCTGGTCAGTTTCAAGAGTTAATGGGGGCTAGATTGTACCAGTTCCCCTAAACTCTGGCTAGTGACTAGAGACAAAGAGGATCTGCACAAATACCTGAAGAAGACCATGTCCAAACACACAAACCTAGCACATTATAATGTCTGGTGTGTCAAGACAAAATAAATTTCCTTCAGTGAGAAATTGTCTGTTTCCTTAGGCCTCTTGAAACAATGTAAGTTAGCCCCCACTGCCCCAAAGTGACATTAGTTGTAGAAAATTTTCCTTGGCTTGGTGGGGAGGGGGTGCCCATTTATTTTTACTACCTTTGCAAAAAGTTTATTCTGCAAGTCTGGATCTCCCATCTGTCTATGCACATCCGCTGCACTTCCTTCCTGTCTCTGAATCCTTCCCTGGCTTGGCCCCCTTCACTGCTTGGTCCTTGTTTAAAAATAAATAAATAAATAAGCCAAAGGAGAAGGAAAGGGAAGGAAAAGACAGTAAGATGTCACAATTTATTAATCTTACATGGGTGTTGAATAATATATTAGCTCACCTTAGCTCATGAATGTACTAAATCTATCCAGATCAGCATTGGTGGGCTGAGGCTAAAAGTCTGCTAGTTCTCAAGTCTAGCTGCACAATGGACTCACTTGCAGAGCTTTAAACAAAACAAAACAGAACAAAACAAAACAAAACATGTATGCCTGGGTCTTACCCCCAGAAATTGATTCAGTTAGTCTAGGATGAAGCCTGGGGAATAATTTTTTTGTTTGTTTCCCCAGTAATTCTGATGTGGGACCAGAGTTGAGAACTACTGACAGCCTAGGTAAAACCTCCAGCAAACAAAACAATTTGCATATTAGACAACTGTGCTTCAGTTTGCTCTTCTGTTCTAAAGGCTAATTATTTGTTTAGAGATTACTCTTTTGTGGAGAAAAGGGAACGCTTATACACTGTTGGTGGGAATGTAAATTGGTACAACATTACGGAAAACAGTTTGGAGGCCCTTCAAAAAACTAAAAGTAGAATTACTATATGATCCAGCAGTTCCACTTCTGTGTATATATTCAAAAGAAATGAAATCACTATGTTGAAGAGATAGCTGCATTCCCATGCTCATTGCAGCATTATTCACAATAGCCAAGATACAGAATCAACCTAAGTGTACAACAGCAAATAAATGAATAAATAAAATGTGGTGCTACGGTTTGAATATCTGTCCTCTCCAAAACTCATGTTGAAATTTAACCGCCAATGTGGCAGTGTTGAGAGATGCGGTCTTTAAGAAGTGTTTGGGTCATGGATTAATAGACTAATGGGTTAGTGGATTAATGGGTTATCATGGGAGTGGTGGCTTTATAAGAAGAGGACTAGCACGCTAAGTCCCCTTGCCATGTGATTCCCCGGACTGCCCTGGGACTCTATAGAGACCTCACCAGCAAGAAGGCTCTCACCAGATGAAGCCCCTTGACCTTGGACTTCTCAGCTTCCACACTATAATAAATGAATACCTTTTATTTATAAATTACCCAGTTTTAGGTATTCTATTATAAGCAACAGAAACTAAGACATGGTATATATAGACACACAACGGAAAATTATTCAACCTCAAAAAGAAGAAAATCCTTCATTTGCAACAACATGGGTGAACCTAGAGGACATTATGTTACATGAAATAAGCCAGGCACAGAAAAACAAATAGCACATGATCTCACTTACATGTAGAATCTTTAAAAGTTGAACTCACAGAAGCAGATAGTAGAATGGTAGCTACTAGACGCTGGTGGGGGTGGGAAGGGGTTAAAATCTTTTTTAAAAAAGATCAGTTCCTTGATCAGGAGTATTAACATATGAAAATAAAGACATACTAAGCTTTAAAATATGATTTGTAGATTTGTTCCCATAAGTATTCACTGTACACTGATTTTCTGTACTTTAAATCCTGTTATCTTATGTATTATTCTTTAAATCTTATTATCTTATGTATTAACCAAAGGTTAACTTTTCCTATTATATAAGAATAAGATAATAGCGATTTAAAGTACAGAAAAGTCATGTGGGCAGGGGCAGGGAAAATGTATTACCTCCCCATGTACTAAGTCTTTACAATTGTTATCACTTTAGATCAGCACCCCAAAATTCTATAATTACTCCCCACCTCCCACCTGCATTTAAGAGGAGATAAAATCATACAACTGGTAAGTGATGGCATTGGGATTTCAACCTGAGTCTCTCTTGTTACAAAGCCATTAATGAGAATGTAATTCCAAAATCTGAAAAAAGTTTAAATTAATATTTTAACCATAAAAATATAAATGTTAATTGCAAGAAAAAGGGAAAGAAAACAAACATTATAGAAGGTAGAAAATAAAATGTATCTATCATCTTCCTCACAGCCACACCCTGTAATCCCCTAAGTAACTTTGATTGAGAATTTACTGGGCATCTTTCAGGAAAAGACTGTTTTATTAGATCACTTATTATAATAATTCTAAAATTTAGTACAAAATATTATTTTAAAGTTCCTAGGATTATTATTATGTTACAAATAAGTTTAAAATCCAAACTGATTATTTCAAGCTGCAGAACCCCAGATTCCAAGGAGGTGACTGAAGTTGAAGTGGGTGCTGGGGCCAGGACTCAGATCTCCCACCTCTTCCTTGTTCAGAGCAGTTCTGCTTTTCCGTAGTTCATGTACTGTATTGGGCTTTTGTGTAAGACTTTGCAGAACATTTAAGTCCACAGTTTTAAAAAGTCTGAAAGAATAGAAATGACAACATAAATAAATATAAACTTGGGATTACATTCTATTATTTTACATTCTATCTGTCATCCTTCCTTCATATTCTACTTTTATAAACCTATAGGTTCTCCGTTTGCTACCCTCAAGAGCCCTATACCTCCATTCTAAAAACACTGTAGAAGTTTATCTTAGAAACAATAGGTGATCTGGGCAGAGGGGAGGGAAGGGATCTGAAAACCCAGCACATCAAAGGCCATGTTTACAGACAGAATGAGCACATGCAAATCATGGCTGAGAAATCTATCTACTGTATAAAGTAAATCTGGAGATATTTTATATGTAAGACCTCTGATGTATACAAAGCCTATAAACTCAATTTCCTACATAATGAGAATCTATAGCCAAATGATATCATCTATGAAAAATCCCTTGTTTTGCAAAAGACAAAGCAGAAGGTAGAGGATAAGTAGTGCATTTCTACCTCAAATTGTGTGGAGGGACTATAGTTTAGTGTGAACATCTGAGTCACTGAAGCTTTCTTATTAACTAGCTATGTGACCTTGCACAAGTGACTTAATTTCTTCTGGACCCGAATTTCCTAATTGTTAAAAAACAGATACAAGTGCGATAAATAAACCCCATCCACTTCATAAGGTTGTTGTGAGGGTTGCACAAGAGCGCACATTGCAAAGCATATCAGCAGAGTGTTTGACACAGAATAATTGTTCCACAAATGGTGAGTACTTTTCTGTGGAGTACCAATTACTTAATCGTGCCATGCCAAACTCAGTTCTCTGGCCCCTGGTAGGCTAAAATTCTTTCCATTATTCTGCATTGCCTCTTTTTTGGTAACCTCTATCTGTGCAGTCTTCATTCAGTGCCAGGTTGGAGAGACTGTGAGCTGTGACCCATGGTCCCAGCCAAGGCAGACATGATGAGTGGCAGCTGGAGAGGTGGTGCAATCCAAGGGAACTTATAGGTGAGTGGAGGATTGAGATGGTGGTCCGGATTATCTACACCTGATGAATCCTAAACAGGTGTGAAGTGAAAAACTTAAGTTTGAATCCAGCACTTGTGAATATCCCAGTACGTTTTCTTTTTCTTTGAGACAGGGTCTTGCTCTGTCACCCAGACTAGAGTGCAGCGGCACAATCTTGGCTCACTGTAGCCTCCACCTCCTGGGTTCAAGCGATTCTCATGCCTCGGCCTCCTGAGTAGCTGCGATTACAGGTGCCTGCCACAATGCCCTGCTAATTTTTGTAGGTTTTTTTGTTTGTTTGGTTGTTTTTTTTTTTTTTTGGTAGAGATTGGGTTTCCTCATGTTGGTCAGTCTGGTCTCAAACTCGTGACCTCAAGTGATCTGCCCTCCTTGGCCTCCCAAAGTGCTGGGATTACAGGCCTGATCCACCATGCCAGGACAACAGTACATTTTCACCTAGTTTTTTGCATTCATGTTTATAATTGTTTATTAACAAAGTCAGAAGTTATTTTAACAAGTAGTACTTGAGTAGAAGTATAAATGGAAAGAGCTTATTTATTAGCTTTTCTGACTTTAAGATGTTTATTGTTTAATCGGTTTAGCTTCTGAATTAAAAACTTATCAGAGGTTCTTAGTTCTGTTGTAGAAAGTATTCATCTGCTAGCTTAAGTTGTCCTTGATAACTGCTGTTGGTATATGAGAACATGAACTAAGCCTTGAGTACTCCACCCTAGCTCTGCATGCTTCCTAACTCATCTCATGCCCTCACATGGTTTCAGATACCACCAGTGATCCCCAAATGTAAATCTCTAGTCTATTTCTTCTGAGTACCCAGCTTTTGGACTTCACCTGGAATTCATGTCCAGTATTGCCCTCTTCCCCTCGTCCCCGGGAAACCTGCCCAGCCTCCTGGCTCCCAGGTTAATGACACTGACACCCATCCAGCAGTCCTGGCCAGAAACCTGGGTCTTTCTGCATTCCCTTTGCCTCATCAGTTGCCCATGGGATTTCCTACCTATGCAGATGGCAAATTCCTCTCCTCCCCAGTTCTCACTACCACTTGCCTTACCTGTCCCTTAGGCTATTGTGGCAGCCTTCCAACTGGGCTTCCTGTCATCAGTCTTGTCCCTCTAATCCACACTAATAGAATGATTTTCTTCAACATAAATCTGTTAACGAAGTCTCCTCTGTAAACGTCTGTAGCTGACCAAACTCCTGATCTTTTTTCTGGGTTCTTCTGTAGCTACTCATCGTAATGTCAACTCCAGCCATGGGAGCACCTCACTATTTTCTGAACATGCCATGGTAGTTCAGGGCTCATTAGTCTTTTCCAAGCTTGAATGATCCCTTATCTGTGAAACTGACCGAACCTCACCAGTTTGATTAAGATGTCTCTCCTCTGTGCTCCAATAACATGTGCCTCATACTGAGTAATCCATTTGTGTATCCTCAAATAGACTGCAAGCCTTTGAGGACAAGGACTAGGTCTGGCTTTTTCTATATATCCAAGCAATAAATGGAGAGCTTGACACAATGTGGGTTAATAAATACATTTATTGCATTACTTATCTGTGGAAATAAAAAGCTATTAATTGCAAAAACAAAACAACCAAACAACATCATAAGAACAAGGTAGAATTTTTAAGAGAGAAAGAAAAAAGAAGAAATACTTTGGGAATTTTTTGTTCTGAATTATCCCAGCATGTTTTATAACGGTCTCCCACACACCCATGTACCCACTGGAAAAACTGGCTAATTAAGTCAAGAGCCCTCACATGAACAGAAGCCTGACATTAGGAGGCTGCCTAAAACAGCAACATTCCAGATTCCTTTTCTGAGTAGGTCTTCCAGGACTCCTCTGGTCCTTCCCCCTATCTCTCAGCAAGACCATAACTGAACAGTCTTAGAAAGGTGTATATCCACTTTTCCTTCCTGGTAATGTGAGAGGGAGCCTTCAACTCAGTTACGAATTCCAGCGACTGGACGTTCTATCGGGAAAGTTCTTTCTTATGTTTACATAATAATTCATGTTGCTAATAAAAATCTATTCAGATTAAGATAGTGCCAAAAGTTTTAAATACTTATACATTTAACAAGATCAACTCTAGGCTTATATTTTTTTAATTGTGGAAAAACTATTAAAAGACACAAAGTATTTGAATAGATTTAAAGTCATATCATGTTCCTGGAAGAGAATACTTAATATAAAACTGTTAATTCTAGAAATTTTAATATATTAATTTAATGTAGTTCCAATTAGAATTTCAACAGAGTTTTTATTGGAATTAGATAAAATGATTCTAAAGTTTATATAAAGAAAGAATGCCAAAGAATAGCTAGTAAAACTATAAAAAATATAAGAAGACAGAGTAGGCCAGGCGCAGTGGCTCACGCCTGTAATTCCAGCACTTTGGGAGGCTAAGGCAGGCAGATCGTGAGGTCAGGAGATCGAGACCATCCTGGCTAACACGGTGAAGCCCTGTCTCTACTAAAAATACAAAAATTAGCCGGGCATGGAAGCAAGAGCCTGTAGTCCCAGCTACTTGGGAGGCTGAGGCAGGAGAATCACTTGAACCCAGGAGGTGGAGGTTGTGGTGAGCTGAGATCATGCCATTGCACTCCAACCTGGGCAACAAGAGAGAAGCTCCATCTCAAAAATAAAAAAATAAAAAAAAAAAGAAGACAGAGTACACAGGGGGGCTTATTAAGATATCAGTGATACTATAACACTTATAAATTCAATTCAATATAGCATTAGCAAGAATACAAAATATATTTCTGGAACAGAATAAATAATTAATGATTACATTGTAGTTATTATTTAAATGTATTACAGAGTGGTAGTTCAATGGGAAAAAAGTTGAACTTTTTTTTTTACTATGCAGACATAACTGGCTACTCACTTGAAAGAAAAGTGTTGAACTGCCATCTTACACTACATTAAAATATAAATACAAATATATTAAGCATTTAAATGTAAAAAAAATTTTAAGTTGAAGAAAAATATCTAGGAGATTATATGTACACACTATGGTTAGAGGAGACTTTCCTTACCAAGAACTATAAAATAAAAGGTAGGCATACTCAGCCATTTATAAATCACTTTTTTGGTATGGCAAATAGTACTATAAACAAAGTTAATAGCAGTCAATGTGTCTGAAAAAATCTTTGTGCTACTATATTCATACAAAGGATCACTTTCTATACAAAGCACCCTTAAAAACTGATAAGATGGTGACTAAAAACTGACAGAACTGATTAGAAAATTGTGCAAAGGATACAAACAACTTACTAATGAGTAGTATCAAAAGGCCCAACAAACATATGAATATGATTCAAGTTCACTAGAAATCAGAGAAATAAAAATAAAAGTAACAAAAAAAATCACTTAACACCCATCACACTGGCAAACATAATAACAGACATAGTAAAGCTTCCAAAGATCAAACATGGGACAATGTAAGTATCAAAGAAAATCATAACTGCAATGGATTCAAACACATCAAAGAAGTTTAATCCATTACTTCATAATGATACTAAAAAAACCAGTCATCATTAAAGGATGCTAAGGAACCATTTCATTATTTTGAAAACTGGTAGATAATGGGAAAGAATCAAGCACTTATGTTGCCTTATTTATATGAACTATACCATTGGGTAACCAAACAGCAGAGGTGAGAAAGTTTTTCTCTATAGACAGTACACCTCATAAATGAAAAAGAGTAGATTTAGACTGTCACCATTCTGCAATCCTAATGAACAAATAGATCTGGGTACTGAGCATCAATGGTTGCTAACCAACATCACGAAGAGGGAGACAACCAAACATTATGTGACTCCTGATGGAGAAACAATCACTGCCTTTGAATTCTTCTTGCCATAAAAATCAAACCTGAATCTGATCAAGCTTTTAGATTCCATTAACAATTCACAGGCAATAAGGATGAGGAAAATCTTCCACCAAAACATAGAAATGCAACTTGCAAAATTCAGACTGTGGGAAGCTTTACAGCACCAAAAACTTGGTTCCTTCAACAAATAAATTGTATGGAGGAAAAAGAATATGGCAGGGGAGACAATTTGTTAAAAGAGACATAAAAGACTAATCAATTGCAACTTGTGTACCTTTATTTGTGTACCTCAAGTAAGATGTAAATACTAGCTAACTATTTAATGAATAATTATTGTTAATTTTTTTAGATATGATAATATTGTGCTTATCTTTTTAAAAAATTTTTTTACTGTAAGTTCTGGGATACATGTGCTGAACATGCAGGTTTGTTACATAGGTATACATGTGCCATGGTGGTTTGCTGCACCTATCAACCCATCATCTAGGTTTTAGGCCCACATGCATTAGGTATTTGTCCTAATACTCTCCCTCCCCTTGTCCTCCACCCACCGACAGGCCCCAGTGTGTGATGTTTCCCTCCCTGTGTCTATGTCTTCTCATCATTCAACTCCCACTTATGAGTGAGAACATGCGGTGTTTGGTTTTCTGTTCCTGTGTTTTAGAAATACATTTATACTTATATTTATGGATGAGATAATAAGGCATCAGGAACTTGCTTTAAAACAAAATGAAACAGAAGGAATTGGATGGGGCAGGTTTGGCCATGGTTATTGGGCTGGCTGATGGACACACAGAAGTTCACTAGGCTATTTGCCTTTTTTGTGCATGCTTGAAATTCTCCATAATAAAAAGTATTATTTTTCAAACACACACACACACACACACACACACACACACACACACACACACACGACAAGCCACAGCATCTATTGCTTATTGCTGGTGGTATCTATGAAGGAAATTTTCACACATTTATAGCAGAAGTGTAAAGTGTTACAACCTCTTTAGAAGGCAATTTGGCAAGATCTGTTTTTCAAAATGAGTATATCTTTTGGCTCAGCAGTTCTACTCCTGGGACTCTATTCCTTAGAAATAGCAGTAGACACACACATGAGGTCATATGGCAATTGTGTGACAGTGTTCATAGAAGACCCCAAACTGGAAACAAAGTGAATGCTCACAGCAATAGATTTGGTAGACTGGCCCACTCTCTGTTTAGTTAACCCCTTTCTTGTGTGTCTTTTTATTTTGCAGAGGCTGGAAAGCTAAAGACATATTTCCAACTCTCCCTCAAAGCTAGGACTTTAGATTGTGATTTAATCTTTCCAGATGCGCTAGTGTAGATCTGACAGACAAAATGTAGGTCCGGAGTAAAAAGTTCCCATGGTAGCCTCCTGATCCTCAAGTTGCAGCTAAGGTAGTGTGATTCTGAAGCCAGCAGCTGGAACAGCAGCTTCTGGAATGTGACAGAGACAGCAGTTCTCTTGGAGAGAAGGGTCTGTAGGACTGTTGTGGGCATGATTCTTTGAGGCCCAGCCTAGAGCCTGCTACTTCGGCACCTCCAGTTATTTTGTAAGTCCCAAATTCCCTACGTTAAATCTCTTTCTACTTAAAATAGCTATTTTCTGTTATGTATAACTGAACAAAATGGTTGAATGAATTACGCATTATATAATAATTCCATATCATGGAATACTAACTAGCCATTGAAGAGAATAAATTAGATCCATACTAGATGACTTCTTAGTCATCTAGAGGGATTTCCCTAAGGTACTTCTAAGTCAGAAAATCAAAATACAGAAAAGTTACATATGATCCCATTTTTGTGAAACAACGACCAGCTATCTCTGAGGTCTATATAAATCATGGACCTATATGACTTCATGAGCATGGAGAAAACACTGACAATCACCCATTAGGTTATGAAGATAGGTTACAGGTGTGTGGCTAGGGTGTGGGAAAGGGACTAGTATGAGGAGAGAAGGTGGTGAGAGAAGGTGTTGATGAAAAAAATAGCAAGCATGATATGATCCTATATATATAGAATTACTTGTGTATTTTTATGTGTATGTATAAAGAATGCTTAAAAGGATAACCAACTCGTTAATCTCATGATGGTGGGATTTCAGGTGGGATTTACTTTTATGTGATTAGGAACAAACTAAAGGTCTTTTCATTGTGGAAAAAAAGAAAAAAAAAAAAACCCTGGGATGTGCAACTGTAACAAAAGCTATAAGGTACTTAGGAATAAATTCTATAAAAGTTTAACAAGATTTTTATGGAGTAAGTAAATGGAGTGTTATACAATATTAATGAGTTGGAGGTTTCAATATAATAAAAATGGCAATTCTCCAAGTTAACCTATAAATTCTACGCAATTCTAATAAAATCTCAAGAGAATTTGTCACAGAATTTGATCAACTGGTCCTTCACACAGAAGAGTAAAGGCCCAAGCATAGACAAAGACAATTTTGCAGATGAATGGGGGGAGAAAGGATCATTTTACCTGATATGAAGACATTATAAATCTGCAATAATTAAAAGTATGGTATTGCACAGAGACAGGTAAAACAGATGAGAGAGAGAGAGAATAAACAGACCCACAGATAAAGGGGAACTGGAAGAGTGACACAGAGGTAACATTACACATTAGTGGGGAGCACAAGATGGCAAATGAACCTGGGTTGCTAGTCTTTCAGAACCCACCATGGTAATGTTACAGAAGTGACAGACAAGTTAATAATGGATAACAGAATATACCATAAAACTACTGAGAAACCTTTGGGGAGACAGGAAGTGATTGGTTACCAGTGGGTATATAGGAAATGTCAGCCTAAAATAGAAGGTGGCCAGGCAGAAGGTGGGCTGGGGGACATCATTCTCCCTTCATTTTTCTTCTCCCCGCACATTGTTCTGAGTGAGTCATTGCTCACCTCTCACTTCTGGGGGGCAGAAGAGCAGTACTTAGGCCAGTGACACTGAGTATTTGAGTTGCCTTACGGCAGGGCTTGAAGAGCGGCTAACAACAGGTGCAGAAGAATGTCTTGACTCCTGAGCAGGCCTAATCCCTGTCCCAATCCTATGGGAGGAAGCTCTTGAAAAATGAGTAGAGCTCAGGAAAAAAAAAGATACAGGAAACAGGGAATGATCAAACCCAGACTGAAGTAACAGAGGTCAACACTCTAAGGAGTATTTCCTATCACTACAACCACCACCTCACATCACATACACTCAATAACTCATCAGAAGGGTCTCAGTTGGATTCTGGATTTCAGTCTCCCTTCCAGGTATACATTATCTGTCCAGGTAGCTGATACTCCCCAAGGTAATGTAAGCTCACAGGGGAAAATAATGATATAAACTACGTGCACAGGCTTAACAGTCCATGCTAAAGGTATCAGAAACAATGGACCAGAGAGGCCTGAATTTAAAATACACATAATAAACACATTTAACAAGATAAGGGAGAGTATTGGAAATATGAAGCAGGAACAAGCAATTATAAAAAAATACTGTATGAATAATATAACAGTTGAAATTAAGAACTCAACACATGAATTTATCTGCAGAATAGGGATAGCTGAAAAACCAATGAATGAGATGAAAGATCACATCAGGCCGGGCGCAGTGCTCACGCCTGTAATCCCAGCACTTTGGGAGGCCAAGGCGGGTGGATCATGAGGTCAGGAGATCGAGACCATCCTGGCTAACACGGTGAAACCCCATCTCTACTAAAAACACAAAAAAATTAGCCAGGCGTGGTGGTGGGCACCTGTAGTCCCAACTACTTGGTAGGCTGAGGCAGGAGAATGGCGTGAACACGGGAGGCGGAGTTTGCAGTGAGCCGAGATCGCGCCACTGCACTCCAGCCTGGGCGACAGAGCGAGACTCCATCTCCAAAAATAAAAAATTAAAATAAATAAATAAATAAATAAATAAAAAAGAAAGATCACATCAGGAAACTTCCTCTAGAAGAGTTAAGAATAGACAAAGAAATGAAAAAAAAAAGGAGACATGAAAGTTTCAAATGGAAGTGTAATAGAAATCATAGGAGAGAGAAAAAGAAAGTAGTAGGAGGAAATATTTAAAGAAATAATGACTGAAGTTTTCCAGAATTAGAAAAATATGCAAGACCACTGATTTAAGCAGCTCACAGAGCATTAACAGGTGACATTAAAGATCAAAACCTCCCATACCCATTAGAGTGAAATTTAAGATGATCAAAGCCAGAGAAAATTCTACAGCTTTCTAGAGGGGAAAATTATGTCACCTACAAAGCAACAAGGATCTGCTCCATGACACATTTCTTAGAAGCCATGCTTAGAGCTGGGAGGCAATAGTGTAGTAAGTAAAGTGCTGAAGGGAGGACAAGTTTGAACCTATAATTTTGTATCAAAACTATTATGTTTAATCTATTTTACCTTGACTTGCTTTCAATTTTGCCTTCATTTCTGAGATGGTGTAATGTGTCCTTCCATCTTTTCCCTAAGTTCTGCCAACTCCTGCTTCATCTCCTCCTGTTATCAGATCATCTTGGCCCTGGACTCTTGCTTCTCTGCTCAGTGCTCTTGGTTTCAATAAATAGCTGTTCCATTCAGTTATAAACATTCATGACCAAACACTTAGTCACAAACTTTTGTCTACTTGATGGCAATGTTTTCCTGATAAGTGGTTTTAGTTTACAGTCATATTTTCCTATTTATTTCCCCTATTTCCTAAAAATATTTTAGTATAGATCCTCTGCTGATCTTTCTTGATGACTCTTTTTTTGAAGCAGTTAAGGAAAGTTTTCTTAGATCAGCTATTTGCAGCAAGCTTGTAAGGAGGACTGGAATTTTCCTTAATATTTAGAGTTTTATGCATTAATTTGTTTGGTGTTCATTCTTCCACTTGGGAATAGGCACCTATGCTCTCTGTCTCTAAACACACAATCTATGTAAAGCCCATGGATCCTCTCCCCATTGTTACAAACTAAGGATTTAAAACTTTTCCTGGCTGGGCATGGTAGCTCACACCTGAGATCCCAGCACATTGGGAGGCCAAGGCATGAGGATTGCTTGAGCCCAGGAGTTCAAAACCAGCCTGGGAAAGATGGTGAAACCCTGTCTCCACACAAAAAAAAAAAAATCAAAAAAATTAGGTGGGCGTGGTTGTACACTCTTGTAATCTCAGCTATTCAGGAGGATGCCTTGAACCCAGGAGTTTGAGGTTACAGTGAGCTTTGATCATGTCACTGCACTCCAGCCTGGGCGACAGAGCGAGACCTCATCAATAAAAAAAATATAATAAAAAAAAAAACCCTTTTCACCTCTGGGTAAACCATTCTTCTTCGAGAAATTTAGTCTGCTAGCCTTTTCTGCTATCTGGAGTCTTAGCATCCACTGTTTCCTCTCCTATGCACTCCTGCTTGATAACTCCTGCTTTTTCAGTCCTTCTAGCTATTTTGCAGTTTGGTTTTAGAGCTCTCTCCTTGTTTCCCCTGCAGGTGGAGTTGTACTCTTCTTAGTTTCTGCAAAAGGGGGAAAAGGGGCCACTTTACATTACCATCTTCACATTAAGAACCAGTGTAAATTATTTAATTTAAATGTGAGGGTAAAAGAAAAATGTTCAAGTCCTCAGAGTTACCATATAAAGACACTCTTCGAAATTAAAATAAGAAGAAAAATAAATATGGAGAGCACCCATGATATTAGTATGAAAGAAAGAAGGAAAGAAGGTAAAAAAGAAAGAGCAACCCAAAGCTAAAATTCTGTAAGATACCAACGTGGTAGGAGGACATACCAAAGCCACGTGGCTAGTTCCTTTGGTGTTGCGATCTTTCCTCTTGGAAAATTTAGCCCTTTGAGCTGGAATGAGTCTTTGAGATCGTATCTCCTCATTTGGGAGGCACTGGGGCTCTAGGCCCTTCAAAGGCACACTGTCTTATTTGTCTTTAAATGCTCAGTATGTAGTACACGGCAGACAGCAATAAATTGTAAATGAATGAAGGTCACATAACACATAAAGACAGAATCACTAGGTCACCTGACTCTTGATCCACTGCTCCTGCTCTTCTAATGCACCATGTTATTCAAGTGAATTTTCCCACCAACTTAAAATATCATTGCCTGTTTAAGTGTTTTATATTAATCAATAATATACCATGGCATTTCCTCAAATTTTGGCCAAAGATATAATACAAAACTATAATTTAAATTCTCATACCCTTTCTGGGTATGTTAGGAGTTGAGAGAAGTTGCTTTAAGTGTTTTGTCATCCATTATTTTTAAAATCTGACCAGACAGATTTGTAGACTGGTTGGGATATGGGGAGGGGAGAGGTAGTGATGGTGGACTGAGTCTCTAGTGAAACAATGATCACAAGCTTTGTGTTGGGGAGGGGTGATGTTAGAATATAGTTCACTGCTCCGAATTGTGAAGACCTATTTTTTCAAATGTGATTTACTGATTTGCTCTAGTTTTTGTCTCATCTTCAATTGCTCCATCACCCTATCCTAAGATGGCAAGTCTAATCATATTGACTGACCTAAAAAAAAGAAAGATTAATTTTCTCTTAATCCATTGAGGCTCTAGGTTTGAAAATTATTTTTCCTTTACTACTTTCTTCTTGCCAAACGTCAAACAAACTACTACCCTCCAAGAAGGTCTGTTCTGCTTGTTTTGGAGCTCCTTACTTTTAAAATATTTGAATCTGGTCTCTTACCCCACTCTGGGCCTAGAGATCACAGCCAAGTGCAAAATAATCTGGAAAGGATGGTGGGATGAAAATATGTACCTTGGCCGTGTGCTCCCTACTGAGCGGCTGACAACATTTCTTGTTATAGATTTGAACAAACGTGTAAGTCTCTTGCTCCAAAAGGGACTGAGTTTTCCTCTTGGATAGTTGGTGTTCTTCTCCATGTCTTCTTGAGATTTCTGTGGAGAAATGAGCCCTCTTACCCTTGGGCTGAGCAGAAGATAATGCTGGGGTCCTGGAAATGTCAGAGCTCACTTTGAATGCCAGTGTCGATGGGAGAAAAACCCGTCTACTTTAAAACAAGTTTTAGTAATGACTTTGGTGGAAATGGCCAAGTGACAGGTGGGGAAATTGTTTTACTAGCATTATGTCACATGCTAAACAGATTTTAAGAACACTGTGTGCCTTTAATAAAGCAAAAGTAAGAACTTAAGTGTCTATTATAGTACACACACATACATACACATAGACCAACTACATGTAATTAGTAATCATTATCATCCACTTAGTGTTTGTAGTTTGCAAAACATTTTCACATGTGATTTTATTTAATCCTCAGAACAAATCCCAAAGGGAATTCCTTATTATTAGACCATGCTAGTAGAGAGAGAATGGCACAGAGCTAGGTTCTGGTGACAGATTTGGAGCCCTAAAGTTTCCAGTGGTCATGAGACTGAGCTGTCATCAGGAAGACAACATAATGAAGAAAGGCAACTGAGAATCACAACATCTGGTTAAGGTGTTAGGTGTGCGGCCTTAAGCAAGTATCTTTAAATATGTCTGATTTCAGTTTCCACATGATAATTTTCATATTTCATTATTCATGGCCTCTAAAAGCAGACCTGGCTTCAAGGAGAACAAGCACTGAGAGTTTGTGGTAAACTTGAGCTCTTCCTTTAGAAGCAGCTGAGACCACTTATCTAGTTAGAACCTTAGTCTTCGAGGAAATGCTCATGTCTAGCTAGATGAAAATGGCCACCCATGACTTCCTGCCCCAGCTGCCCTAACATGGTGCCACTCAACACCAAGAATGACAATGTGAATATTATTGGGAAACTAACTACAGCCCTAATATGATCTGCAGCGTGATGGCTAAGATAGCCAACTCAACCTTTGTCCATTTTAAAACTACTATAAGATTATAGAAAATGACAATCTAATGGTCGTCCGCCTGGATCAGATCACATCTGAAGTTCATTGCTGGATTTACATTTTAAGGGACTCACTGACAAACCGGTGGACATCAGAAGAGGGCAAGCAAGATGGTGAGGACTCTTTAAATATTGTCATAAGTCACAGACTGTACAGTGCCCTGCAGTTTTCCAGTGCTTTGCTTACGTTCATCCCTCCCAAAAACTGGTGAGGCAGGCTGGTGGGATAGATTACTCTGCATTAGTGTCATGGTTAAAAAAAAAGTTTCTGTCCTAAATATTTAAGAATCTGTGGCTTCTCCACAGCACAAGCAGAAGTGTGCAAATGTTTGCCAGTAAGTGAATTTGGTTTCAGAAGTCAGTAACTGAATGAAGAATAAAAGGCACAGGGAGGCTAATGCTAGGAACTTAGATGTGTGTAATAAAACTATTAACAAGCTGTTTCATGAACTTAACACCAACAGAAAATCAAGTTATGCCTAGGTGATCATCTGCAGAGATTTAGTTAGGTCCAACAATAGTTATTAAGTACAAACTATATGATAGTCACCAAGGGTCATGAGGGCAGTTGAAAATGAATCAATCCTGGTCCCTATCCTCAAGAAGAGTAGAGGGTAGGAAAGACAGATACGTAAACTGATAAAGACATCACTAGAAATATCTGCAAGGTACAGAAGTAGTACTGTGGATTTCAAGAATAAATAAAAATTTGTCAGGAGGAGCTTGGGCAAAAGGCCGTCCAGGTAAAAGGAATACCCCTGGTGTGCTTGGAATCTTCCAGTAGTAGGTATCCAGTAGTATCACTGTAGAACAGTTCTTTTCTTTGGGTATAACAGTGAGATTATTTCTATAGTCCTTTCAAAAAGTTAACTTTTAAACCCTTCAGAAGTCTAAGATCTTATCATCTCTGGTAATTCTATGGGAGGGTTAGCTCAAGACAACAGCTTTAAATAAAATAGTGCCCGGTTCTCTACAAGTGGTAATATTAATACATCCAGAAAAGTTAAGGGGCTTTGAATTGTGTGTGTTAAGGTATGCTATAGTCTTAGAACCCACATGTTTAAGCAATTCGGAGCAAAAGGAAATCTAGAACTAACATTGGAAAAATGATTAAGGGAGTGTTAACTTACAAATCAAACCCAACTTTCCCTAGTGGTTGCTTAAATTCTGGACCCTTAAACATTATTTTTGAGAAGGGGCCTGTTATCCTAGTAATTAAAACTTAAGCCAACGTTATCACTCTTTTTTCCCTTACCCTGCTTTATTTTTCTTCACAGAACTGACTATATGTTCCTTTGCTTGTGTCCCACTGTATCATAAGCTCTTTAAGGACAGAATGTCTGTCCTGTTTATTGCTGTCTTCTCAGAGCCTATAATAGTAACTGGCACATATTAGAGCTTTCATTTCATTCACTGAGTGAATGAATCTTTAGCTGAGGGAATGTGAGCACTAGTTACCTACCTGGTCAGCTGTGATGAAGCTGCATGCCCTTTTTACCTAAGCAGGTTTTACAATGCTGCCCTACTTTCCATGTAGTTGGAGCAGGCCTTTATCACTTTTAAGGCACTTGACAAGTAAAATGCCACCATCAGTGAAAATAAAGGTTTCTGAAAGATTTACTAAACTCCAGGGGTGGTGGGAATAAGGGAAGAACATGTGGTAAGTACTTCTTTGGTTCTTTAGCCCTGCCCCTAGGATCTCTACACTTGGTCCAATATCATCAGATTCTACCTTTTATCTTCAATGGTGTTCACAACTACTAAATTCATTGTAAAGGGTTGTATATTACCTCCACAGATCAAAGACCGTAAAATAGTGACAAAATGCTAGAGGATGGTTCTCACTCCATGCTCAATACTTATCTGGAGACACGAATTTCAGTGTGTCAGAGGTTAGGGATACTCTGGACATCTACTAATACGCTTTTTGCACTCTGGGACATCTGAAAGGGCTGAGAGGGCTGGGATCTGGGACCAGCCTGACCCTTCTGAGACTACGATGAGGCAGTAATGCTGACTCCTGCTGAGATGATCTAAAGACGACGACTGAGAATGGACTCTCCTCGCCTTTTTATTCTAATGAAGACAACTTCGAACTTAACTAAGAACTTGACTTTTCATTTTAGACATCGCTCAGTGTGTCTCAAACTGATTAAACTGAAAACCTTGGAGTCATCTTTGATTTTTCTATCCTCTGTAGTTCCTATTTGGTCACCCAGCTGACTGAAAAATTTTCGTCAATTTGCCTCTCCTTTTTCACTTTTATTGCCAAAGGATTATGTCTGAACTACTGCAACAGCTTTCTAAATGGTCTCCAGTCTCTCCCTCCTCTAATCCTTCCTATTTACTATCACTCTATGACATTTTAAGAATACCCAACTTCGCCTGGTAATCCTCAACTGAAAAAAAACAAAAAAACAAAAAACACCACCACCAGATCCCCAAATACTCCAATGACTTAATGTTTAATGGATACTCCTCAGCCTGGAGCTCAAGACATTCCACAACTGACCCAAATCTTCTAATTGTGTTTTCTTCATTTATTATTACCACCCCCTCCCCACCTCTATTTCAGTCAGGTTGGTCTACCACGGTACATCCTAATATACCAAATTCAACCAATCTCCACATTTTGATGATACTGACTTTCTAAGGGGGAAACATTTAAGGCTGTTCACAGGATTACCCAAATCCTATGTATTCATCCAAATGAAGTTCTCTTCTAGGTCCTCCTCTACTCTTGGCTTCCTTCTGTTCTAAAGTTCTATAAAACTCACTATGTATTCTATCCTTATTGCTAGGTTCATATTCCATCTTGAAATTTAACCAAATTATTGCATGTTCCTATTTCAAGTCATGTGCATGTCTTTTATCAAATACTAAGCTTCTGCTGAAGGTCCCTGAAGAAATTTCTAGTCTCATTTGTTTCTCGATCAAATTATTAGCCACTAATTAATTGAACACACAAGCGTTTAAAAATTTCCTTTGCATATAAGGATGGCTGTTCCATGTTAAGGGCCAAATAGGATTACCAGGTAATCTTAAGATTTTACTTTTGCATATGAATAACAGTTAAATATTTGGGAGTAGACAGATGACACAATTTTTTTCCTTTTTTATTATTTTTTATTTCTGAACTTATTTGTTAAAGAGTTGTGGCCTATTACCTCCAAATAAGATGCCAATAAATTAATTCATGAATACTAAATAAAATTAAAGATGCTAATGGACTCTTGTGTGAAATAGTTTAGAATTCACTTAATAAATTTTTAGACTTAAATCTCTATCTGGAAAATCTGAACATATCAAAGAGACTACAGCTGGCTCCTTCAAACGCTGTAGCACTAACACCTAAAAAAAAAAAAAAAACCACCAAAAAAACAAAAAACACGAGGAGGTTCTGGGATTAGGAGAACACTCTTTAATGATAAAGCCTGTCCAAGTACTAAGGACAATTAGAGTAGGCAGGTGACCTGTACAAAGTATTAGTGATAACACAACATTCAGCTTCCTAAGAGTTAAAACGTGCTGCTTACATGAAGGGAGATGATACTGAGCTAAGAAGTCCTGGTATAGAGAAGCAGAGAGACCAACCTACTTCATATTATTTATAAAATAGAGAATATTCTCAGCTAACATGCTGGGAGAAAAAATTCTTCCAAAAAGGCAGAATTACAATCAATGCCAAGATTTACAAATTCCATCATGTTTAAATATAAGGACAAAAATAAACATTTCTTATTTAAAAAAAACCCACAAATTTCCCCAACTATAGCTTATCTGTTAGCACTTCTTTATCAGTCTGACTATTCTTTAAAGGCCTTAAAACATGAATTTGGGATAAAAACAAATAAAAGTGCCCAAGTTTTAAGAAGCCATATGTTAACTTAGGATGTTATCTATATATTTTTTAGACCAATCAATGTTTTTTAAGAGGTGTAGATACTGGTAACTTTTCTCTTTAAATAAATGTTTATATATTTCACCAACAACACTGGCCTGTGGCACACAGCATGTTTAATAAAAACACATTGCTATTAAAAAAAAGTATATGTAAACAGAAAAAAAAAACCCTCTAGTTTCAACAGAAAAACTTACATCCAGAGATTCTTTTCCCATTATTTCTTAGGACAGCCACAGAACTATTTCAACCTGTACCCTTAATCCAGCAGATACATCTTAATAAAAGAACTCTAATTGCTAAGTACTGAAATAAAACATTACTTACAATAATTTCCTAGTTATCCACAACTTTCTTCTTGTAGCAATTGTGAACTTAAGATGACTTGTTTTTATAAGCTCCTCAGTGTCAATATATCTCAACAATACATTTATTACTTGTACAATATATTACTTCACACATAATAACATAAAACATCATTTCACTAAAGAAAAATACACATTCAATATAGCCAAGTTCTAGTTTTAAAAAGAAGCACCTGATGAGTTTTCTTCTGAATTCATTTCTCCAGAAGACCAGTCCTTAAAGACTTCTGGAGTCTAGCTATGTTGGCATCTAATGCCGCAAGGCCATTTCTGAAGTCTTGTTCATCACGAGAAGTGAACGTTGAAAACGAAGAGATGCTCCAGTCAGACATCAAGTCAGAAGTGAAAACACTACCATCACAGACAGTATTGCCTTTCACTTGAAGGCTGTTGCTAAGACAACCTGATGGGCCATGACATGCAGTTTGTTCCTCTGGCTCCTTGGTGGCAGCAGGGATCTTACCAATTGCTTCCTTTATTTTCTTGAGGAGCTGTGTGTCCTTCATATCAGATGCTCTGGAAAGTTTTTCAGGTGCATCTTCTGCTTCCTTTGTTGAAGAGGAACAGATTACAGGTGTACACAGTTTATTTTCTTTTCCAGAGACAGCAAGTCCGCTGTTGCTGACTAGCTGTGTTGTAGCTGCTCTTATTTGTGGCTGAGGGGATAGTCTCTTAGAAAGTGGTGATTTCTTTTCAGGAGTGCTTCTAGCAAAAGGAATGTAAATTGTATTATCCAAATTATGCTCATCTTCTATTAAAGCCATAGTTTCACTCCCTTCATCAGAATCCTGTTTTGAAAGGGCAGAAATAATTCCAGGTGCAGATGCTTCCTCCATGCCCCTAGTGTTACTATTTTGAGGGCCTCTGGAGGACAGAACATTTTCATAGGTTTTGTCTGGCTCTATGGTTTCCTCATTTTTAATTGTAGAAAGTGGCTCTGAATGTGTAAAACTGTAATTTGTTTCTAACTTATTTAGATAGCTCATTATGGAAGTGTGAGCAGGAGCTGGGTCATGTTGAAGTTGTTTATCATGAATGTTCAAGAGTGATTTGGTAAGGTTATTCCCAGGCTTGCAGCGAGCACTGTCCACACTAAGATCGGAGAGAAGCTTTGCCATGCTAGTCTGTAAAGTTCTGTTAAGAAGAATCCAGAACACTAATTATTATTTTTTACCTGTTTCTTTAATTCACTTATCTATACCTCCATCTTTAAAAAAAGGATTTGAGAGAAGTGTCTGGTTCTTAATATGAAAACAAGCAACTAGAAGCACAAAATCACAGAACGTGCTTTGGCAAGAGCATATAATAATTAAAATAACAATGATAAAATACATTGGTCTGTATCGAATCTATCACTATGTCTAAAAATAGAGGCTCAGAATTTTTTTTTAAGGTATGGAGATGTTTTACTCTTTTTTTTTTTTTTTTAATTGAGATAGAGTCTCATTCTGTCACCCAGGCTCGAGTACAGTGGAATGATCTCAGCTCACTGAAACTTCTGCCTCCCAGGTTCAAGTGATCCTCTTGCCTCAGCCTCCCGAGTAGCTGGGATTACAGGTGCGCATCACCACGCCTGGCTAATTTTTCTATTTTTAGTAGAGACAGGGTTTCACCATGTTGGCCAGGCTGGTCTTAAACTCCTGGCCTCAAGTGATCTGCCCGCCTCAGCCTCCCAAAGTTCTGGGATTACAGGTATAAGCCACCATACCCAGCCGAGATGGTTTATTCTTGAGCAGCACTAGGTTCATTCTTGAGCAGCACTACAAATTGAGCCCCAGAGTAAAAAACTGGCCTCACAAAGGTAGGCTAAGATACAAAGGGAAACACACTATTCATTTGTTATGGATTCTGCTAGGAATTATTTCCCTTCATTATATATGTGTTTGTGTGTGTGTGTGTGTGTGTGTGTGTGTGTGTGGCACAATACTAGAAAAAAAGGATAGAGATAATTATCTGGCATAATAGGTATAAGCAACAGCTAGGTACCAGAAAGGTGTATAACGAAAACCACAGAAGGTTTGAAGTTAGAAATGGAATTAAATCCCAGTGCCATCATTAGCTGTGATCTTGGGCAAGTCATTTAACCTTTCTGAATCTCTAGTTCCTCAGCTGTAAAATGAAGATATTTCCGAACTACAATGAAGATTAAATAAGATAAAATAATAAGGTATAAAGTATTTAGCACGGTTTCAGTCTAAGTGGGTGTTTGTTTGTTTGATGGCAGCCTTTATTAGTAGTCCTATTAAGGCCATTTTTTATTTTTTTATTTTTTTGAGATGGAGTCTCACTCTATCACCCAGGCTGGAGTGCAGTGGGGCATGATCTCAGCTCACTGCAAGCTCTGCCTTCTGGGTTCATGCCATTCTCCTGCCTCAGCCTCTTGAGTAGCTGGGACTACAGGTGCCCTCCACCACGCAGGGCTAATTTTTCTGTATTTTTTAGTAGCGACGGGGTTTCACTGTGTTAGCCGGGATGGTCTCGATCTCCTGACCTCGTGATCCACCCGCCTCGGCCTCCCAAAGTGCTGGAATTACAGGCGTGAGCCACCACGCCCAGCCTAAAGCCATTTTATACTAAGACTTTAGTCTATTTAAATTGAATTATATATGGTCTCAAAAATCAATGAGGGCTGGGCATGGTGGCTCATGCCTGTAATCCCAGCACTTTGGGAGGCTGTGGCAGGCAGATCACCTGAGGTCAGGAGTTCGAGACCAGCCTGGCCAACATGGTGAAACCCCATCTCTACTAAAAAATACAAAAATTAGCTGGGCATGGTGATGTGCGCCTGTGATCCCAGCTGCTCGGCAGGCTGAGGCATGAGAATTGCTTGAACCCGGGAGGCAGAGGGTGCAGTAAGCCAAGATCACTCCACCGCACTCCAGCCTGGGCAACAGGGCGAAACTCCATCTCAACCAAAAAAAAAAACAAAAAACAAAAAAACCCAAAAAACCAATTTAAACAAAGATACAAAGGACATCAACAGGTAACTAACAAAAAAATACCACTAGCCAATAAGCATGCTTTAAGAGTTCAACTTTTAATCAAATAAATTCAAAATTTAAAAATGATTTTTTTTTTGCTTATCAAATTAGCATAGTAAAATAAGAATAATACCCACTGTTAGAGAAGCCTGGAGAGGCAGGTGCTACTGGTGGGAGTGTACAGTGGTATAACTCTTCTGGAGAGGAAACTGCCAATACATTTCAAAAGCCTTAAAACTTTGTGTGTCTCACACTCTTTGGCCCACCAATTTATACTTATAAAAATATCCTACTGGTCTACACAGAGGTTGTACCCAAAGATATATTAATAAATATATTAGTTATAATATAAGATAGATGGACATATATATCTTTATCTTCAAAAAAGTGAACTGGTTCAGGTAAATTATGGTATAACTGCATCATAGCTCCTAATTATAGTCATGTTGTAAAGCATATTTATTGATAGGAAAATGTTCATTACATAAGGTTATATTAAGAAAAGCAGGCCATAAATAATCTAGACTCAATATTTTTCTAAAAAGTAGTCACACACATAAACATAAAATGCTAAAAAGAAATCTCTATACTAAACAGTCAGTGGTGATTATATCTCTGTATATAGGATAAATTATTTTCTCCTACAAAACTAAAAACAAATTTTTTCCAACTTGGCTTACACTGTCCTCTTAAACACACTGTATTTTGACTTCTAATTGTTCTTCAAATGGCAATGGCTCCTGCTATTTCTTCTAATATCTCTATTTTTAAAAAATGCCTCTTTCTAGGTTATGAGGAGAGTGACATCTCTTTTAATAAGTCTTAAAAATCTCCAGCAAGATGGTGGAATAAGAGTTTCCTGGCTCTGGTCCCCCTCATAGAAATCGAACTAGCTACTATCCACAGACAAGTACACCTTCATGAATATCCCAGAACTCAGGAGTGAGCTGAGACACTCTCTTGGATCACAGAACTGAGAAAAGCTGCATTACAGGGTTAAAAGGAACAGTTTCACCCCTTTCCAAGCCAGTTAAGTACCACACAGAGAGGAGTCCCCTGGGCCTGCAGTTTCTACCACAGAAAAAGAAAGCTGGAGGTGAATACTCAACTTCCCTGGCATTCTGGGATGCTTCTCAGGAAGCCCACTTCTGTATTACCCCATTTGTTCCTACAGGGCTAGAACACTTGGGGTTAGCGGAAAACAAAAAAGAGGGATACAGCTCATAGCGGCTACAGCACAGATCTTGGCAATGACTCTGCACTCCTGCCAATGGAAGCATCAGACCAGAGAGACCAGTCAATAGCACTGCTTTGCAGAAAGCACAGTTGACAGGTGTGCCAGGGCCGAGTCCCTACCACTATCACATCCAAGCCTTCCCCAACCCTTAAGCAGAGTCTCAATTCTCTGCTTAAAGTTTTCCTAGGCCAGGAGGCAAGTATGCGGTGGCACCTAAGTGTTGAAGAGAGCATCTGGTCCCATAAGAACTGAGAGGGCGAGCGGTAACCCCATGCAGCCTCAGTACTCTGCTTATGGCTTCCCCAGACCCAGAGGCAAGTGCACATTAGCATAAATCTGTGGAGGTCGGCATCTGGCCCTGCCAGACTTTAGTGTCCCTACCTAACTTCACAGCTGTACATATAGTTTCCTGAGGCCAGGAGGCAAAACTGCATCCTTACATATCTGCAGAACACAGTTAACTGGCCCTGCTCAACCTTAGCAGTTAAGCAGTGACTCCATTCAGCTTTGAAGTCCAGCCTGAGGTTTTGCCCAGGCCCAGGCAGGGAGGCAAACCTGTGACTGCATACTGTGGAGGAATCTCCAGCCCTGCCTGTCACGAGTGGCTGGGCAGCAAACCCAGAAACACTGAAGCCCAGCCCGCAACCCTGCCCAATTAGATTCTAAACAGCAGTAGCACTCAGCCAGGGAATACAGCCTGCAACCCTGCCCAATCAAAGGTGATTGCAGAGCCCAGCTGGCAGCTCCACCTGACCTTGGAACCCAGTCAGTGGCCTCACTGGTTGACGGAGCACAGCCATTGGTTTCACAAGATCATGGAGTACAGTCAATAGCTCCACTGACCTCAAAGCACAGGTAGCAGCCCAGTTAGAGAACCCAACAGCAAGGTCTGCCTGCCTATAGTCACTACCAGATGGCCAATCCAGAATCCCAGGCTAGACTAAATAGTGAAGGTCTATCCCCTTCACCTCAAGTGAGAGGTGGGGTAGGGCATAACACTTGCAAAACTGGAAGAGGTGGCCACTTCTTCAAGTGCATAGACACCAATGCAAGGATACAAGGATTATGAAGAATCAGAAAAATGACACCACTAAAAGAAATAAAGCACCAATAATGGACTCTAAAGAAATGAGAGACAAAGAATTGAGAATAATCTTCTCTTTAAAATGTTCAGGGAACTACAAGAAAATATAGATAAAAAATTAAATGAAATTTGGAAAATAATTAACAAACAAAACAATAAGTTTGACAAAGAAATAGAAACAAATTTTAAAAATCAAATAGATATCTTAGAGATAAAAAACACAGTATCTAAACTGAAAAATTCAATCAAATACTTCAATAGTATACTTGATCAAGCAGAGGAATTAGTGAGCCTGAAAAGAGGACATTTAAAATTATCCAGTCAGAAGAGGAAATAAATCAAGAATGAAAAAGAATGAAGAAAGCCTACAGGTATTATGAGATACCATCTGAGAAACAGGAGTGCCTGAAGGAGAAGAGAGAGAAAAATGACCAGAAAGCATATTTAGGAAAATAATGGCTGAAAATTCTCCAAATCTAGGGAAAGACACCAATATTCAGGTACAGGACGCTCAGAGGTCTCCAATCCAATTTAACCCAAAGAGAAGTTCACCAAGACACACCATAACTGAACTGTTAAAATTCAAAGATAACTGTTAAAATTCAAAGCAGTGACAGATAAGAAACATCACACACTAGGGAGCCTCAATATGGCTAACAGTGGACTTCTCAACAAAAACAACCTGTCAACCAAGAATACTTTATCCAGCAAAACTGTCCAGAAATGAGGGAGAAATAAAAACTTTCCCAGACAAATGCTAAGGGAGTTCATCCTCAGTAGGCCTATCTTACAAGAATTGCTAAAACAAGTTCTTTAAGCTGAAGTAAAAGATCACTAATTAATACCATGAAACACATGCAATTATAAAACTCAATGGTATAACACATAATCATATTCTGAATACTCTAGTACCTTAATGGTGGTATGTAAAGCGATTTTATCCTAATATGAGGGTTAAAAGACAAAACTATTAAAAACAACTATAGTTACAGGATATAAATTAGAAAAAGATGTAAATTTTGAAATCAAAATCATAAAATGTGTAAGAGGGGAGTAAAAGTGTAGTTTTTGTATGTGATTAAAGTTATTATCAGCTTAAAATAGCCTAAGTATAAGATGTTTTATGTAAACCTCAGGGTAACCACAAAGCAAAAACCTACAGAATTTGCACAAAACATGAAAAGGATTCAAAGCATACCATTACAGAAAACCATCAAACCACAAAGGAAGGCAACAGAGGGAGAAAAAAAGGATCTACAAAACAATTACAAAATAAATTACAAAATGGCAGTAGCAAGTCCTTGCCTATCAACAATTACCTTGAATGTAAATAGAGTAAATTCTCTAATCAAAAGACAGAGTGGGTGAATGAATCAAAAACTGTATGCTGCTTACACGAGGCTCACTCTAAGGTAAAGCACACACATAGACGGAAAGTGAAGAGATGGAAAAATATATTCCATAGGAAAGGAAACGAAGAAAGCAGGGGTAGCTATACTCATATCAGACAAAACAGACTTTAAGTCAAAAACTGTAAAAAGAAGCAAAGAAGGTCACTATATAATGATAAAGGCATCAATCTGCAATTGTAAGAATATATGCACCCAACATTGGAGCAACTAAATAATAAAGCAACTATTAAATGATCTGAAGGGAGAGACAGACTGAGTGGGGGATTTCAGTACCCGGCTCTCAACACTGTACAGATCTTTTAGATAGAAAATCAATAAGGAAACATTGGTCTCAAATTACACTTTAGACCAGGGGTGTCCAAGCTTTTGGCCTCCCTGGGCCACACTGGAAGAATTGTCTTGGGCCACACATAAAATACATTAACACTAACGACAGCTGATGAGCTTAAAAATTTGTCAAAAAAAAATCTCATAATGTTTTAAGAAAGTTTATGAATTTGTGTTGAGCCACATTCAAACCCATCCTGGGCTGCATGTGGCTCAGGGGCCATCAGTTGGACAAGCTTGGTTTAGACCAAATAGATCTCATAGACATAATATAGAACATTCCATCCTACAGCAACAGAGTACACATTCTTCTCTTGTGCACACAGAACATTCTTCAGGATAGATCATGTTAGACCACAAAATAAGTCTTAACAAATTTAAGGAGACTAGAATCATACCAAGCATCTTCCGATTCCAACGGCATGAAACTAGGAATCAATAACGAGAAATTTTGGGAAATTCACAAACGTGGAAATTAAGCAACATGCTGCTGAACAACCAATGAGACAAAGAAGAAATTAAAAGGGTAATAAAATAATACCTTGAGACGAACAAAAATGAAAACAAAATATGACAACATTTATGGGATGCAGCAAAAGCAATTCTAAGAGGGAAATTTATAGCAATAAACATATATCAAAAAAGAAAGCTCTCAAATAATCTAATATTACATCTTAAGGAACTAGGAAAAGGAGAACAAATTAAGCCCAAAATTAGCAGAAGGAAGAAATCACAAAAGATCAGAGCAAGAAATATATGAAATAGAGACTAGAAAAACAATAGGAAAAATTCAGCAAAACTGAGTTTGTTTTTTTGGGAGAAATAAACAAAATTGACAAACCCTTAGCTAGACTAAGAGAAGGAGAGAGAAGACTTAAATGAATCAGAAATAAAAGGAGATATTACAACTGATAACACAGCAATGCAAAGAATCATAAGAAGTTACTATGAGCAATTATACACCAACAAATTAGATAACCCAGAAGAAATGGATAAATTCCTATACAGACACAACTTACCAAACCTGAATCATGAAGGAATAGAAAGTCTGAGCAGACCAATAATGAGTAAGGATATTAAGTGTTCTTAATAAAGTCTCCCACCAAAGAAAAGCCCAGGACAAGACAGCTTTATAGCTGAATTCTAACCAACACTTAAAGAACATTTAAAGAAGGATTGAGAATACCAACCCTTCTCAAACTCTTCCAAACATTCAAAGTGCAGGGAATTTTTCCAAACTTGTTTTACATAGAAAACACTGAACAAGGCCAAGTGTTCTTGTTGAACACTTGAAAACACTGTTCAAGGCCAATATGACTCTGATAACAAAGCCAGAAAAGAACACTACAAGAAAAGAAAACTACAGGTCAATATCTCTGATGAACACAGACTTAAAAAACCCTCAACAAAATACTAGCAAACCAAATTCAACAATAAATTAAAAGAATTATTCAACACAATTAAAGGGGATTTACATTTGAGATGCAAGGATGGTTCAACGTATAAAACCGATGAATGTGATATACCACATTAACAGAATGAAGAATTTAAAACTATATGATCATCGCAAAAGATGCAGAAAATGCACTTGATACATTTCAACACTCTTTCATGAAAAAACTCTCAAAAGATTCCGTATAGAAGGAATGTACCTTAACACAACAAAGGCCATATATATGACAAACCCATAGTTAACATCATACTCAGTGATGAAAAGTTGAAAGTTTTTCCTCTAAGATCAAGAGTAAGGTAAGAAGGCCCACTCTCACCACTTCTTTTCAACATATTACTGGAACTCTTACCCAGAGTAATTATGCAAGAGAAAAAAAATAGAAGATAATAAGAAAGGAAGAAATGAAATTGTCTGTTTGCTGACACGATTTTATACACAGAAAATCCTAAACACCAAAAAACTGTTTTGCTTATAAACTCAGTAAAGTTGCAGGATACAAAATCAACATAAAAAATCAGTAACATTTCTATACACTCACAACAAACTACCCAAAAGAAATTAAGAAAAACAAGCAACAAAAAACAAAGTAAAATACTTCAGTGAAAATTTAACCAAGGAGGTGAACAATACACATATATTATTAGTATTTACTAAATATATACATATATTATTAGTATATACTAAAAACTATGAAACACTGATAAAATAAACTGAAGAAAACACAAATAAATGGAAGGCTACCCTGTGCTCATGATTGGAAGAAATAATATTGTTGGAATATTCATGCTACCCAAAATGACCTACAAATTCAACAGAATTCCTATCAAAATTCCAGTGTCATTTTTCACAGAAATAGAATAAACTATCCTAAAATTCATACAGAATCATTAAAAAAAAAAAAACCCTTGAAAAGCCAAAAATATCTTAAGTAAAAAGAACAAAGCTGGGGGCACCACATTCCCTGATTTCAAAATATATTAAAGGAATTGAAATCAAAACGGCATGAACTGGCATAAAAACAGACATGCTGATCAATGGAACAGGACATAAATAAATCCATGTATTTATGGCCAATTGATTTTTCACAAAGGTGACAAGAAAACAAAATGGGGAAAAGTCTCTTCAACAAATGGTGATGGGAAAACTGGAGATCCACGTACAGAAGAATGGAATTGGATTCTTATTTCACAATGCATACAAAAATATACTAAAAATGGATTAAAGATTTAAATACAAGACCTGAAACTGTAAAACTACCAGAAAAAAACATGAGGGAAAAGCTCCATGACACTGGTCCAGGCAATAATTTTTTAGATATGACCTTGAAAGCACAGATATCACAAACAAAAATAGACAAATGAAATCGTATCAAACTAAAAGGCTTTTGCACAGCAAGGGGAACAATCTAACAGAGTGAAGAGACAAGCCATGGTGTGGGAGAAATATATGCAAACCGTACGTGATAAGGGGTTAATATTCAAAATATGTAAGGGACTCATGCAACTCAACAGCAAAAAAACAAATAATTAAAAAATGGGCAAAGGACATTTCTCCATTTAAATGGCCAATATGTCTAAGAAAAAATGCTCAACATTAGGGAAATGCAAATTAAAACCACAATGAGATATCATCTCACACCTGTCAGAATGGCTATTACAAAAAAGATGAAAGCTAACAAGTGTTGATGAAGATGTGGAGAAAAGGAAACCCTTGTATACTGTTGGTAGGAATGTAAATTAGTATAGACACAATGGGAAACAGTATGGAAGCTCCTCAAAAATGTATAAATAGAACTACCATATGATTCAGCAATCCCATGTCTATGTACATATCCATATATATATATATACACACACATATATATGTATACATATATACACACACACACACACACACACACATCTATCTATACACACACACCCAGAGTATGGGCATTGTAGCATTATTCACAATAGCCAAGATATGGAATAAACCTAAGTTTCCTTCAGTGAATGAATGATTATTTCTTTAAGGAAAACGTGGCATATAAACATATTGGAATACTACTCAGCCTTAAAAAAAAAACAAAAAAAAACCCAGGAAATTTTGTCATTTGCAACATGAATGAACCTGGAGGACATCCATATGTTAAGTGAAATAAGCCAAGAACAGAAAGACAAATACTGCATGACCTCACTTATATATGGAATATAAAAAAGTTGAACTCATAGAAGCAGAGAGTAGAATAGTGGTTACCAGAGACTGGGGTTGTGGTGGATGTAAGGTAGGGTATGGGAAATGGGGAGATGTTAGTCAAAGGGTACAAAGTTTCAGTTACATAGAAGGAATAAGTTTGTGGGTTCTATTGAACAGTAGGGTGACTATACTTTTTTTTTTAGATGGAGTTTTGTTCTGTTGCCCAAGCTGGAGTACAGTGGTGCAATCTCAGCTCATCGCAACCTCTGCCTCCTGGGTTCAAGTCATACTCCTGCCTCAGCCTTCCGAGTAGCTGGGATTACAGGCACCTGCTACCATGCCCAGGTAATTTTTGTATTTTTAGTAGAGACAGGGTTTTACCATGTTGGCCAGGCTGGTCTCAAACTCCTGACCTCAGGTGATCTGCCCACCTTGGCCTCCCAAAGTGTTAGGATTGCAGGCGGAAGCCACCACGTCCAGCCTAGGGTGATTATACTTAATAATAATCCAACATTGCTAAAAAAGTAAATTCCAAATGTCTCACTCCAAAATACAATAAGTGAGATGATGGACATTTAATTAGCTTGATTTAGTTATTTCACCTTGTTTACATATACCAAAACATCACTGTACCCCATAAATATAGTTAAAATGGTATTAATTTGTCAATTATGATATTAAAAGAAGCTAATGAGTTGTTACTACAACACAAAAATATGCTGGAGAAACATATCTTTGAAGGAATGCTGTAACGAATAATGACCCACTAATTAATTTGATCAGACTGCATACCGAAATTTTTATTTTTGTTTATTTTCAGTAAAGGAATACTTATATTGAAGTTTCTTTCCAGTTTTAAAAAAAATTACTGTTGCTATAGATAAAATCAGAGATAAAGAAAGGAAGGGACAATGACATTTAAAAAAGCTTAATTTCTGGAAATTAGTAGCAATTACTAATCTTCTGATGTATAAACAGAATATGACTCACCATTGTCTCTGAAATTAAAAATCTCTGTAAGAAATATGAAAACGTTAAAATTTTAAAGGAAGGAATATGAGCACCTAAACTGTGACAAGCGGATATATTGGTGTTTCTATTATACATAATTCAGCTAAAGACACTGATTTTTAATACTTAGAAAACTGGCACATTTTCATAACAAATGCAGGGTTCTTTCTAGGCTACTTACAAAAATATATTAATTTAAATAACTATGAGTACTTGTAAGAATGCTCTTTGAAACTATTCACTATTTACTTAAATAATGTTATATATTATTTAATTTATATATTTTTAAATATAAATATTATTTAAATTAATATTTAAAATATTATTTAAATTAATATTTAAAATATTAATTTTCCTCACATTTTAATGGTTTTATAACATGTTGTAGTAAGATCTGAAAAAAAAGTGACACAGGCACATTTAAAATCATTAAAGGTTGGAGAAGGAAAAGAAAGAGGGTTTGTGGTATTTCTTTAGACCTTGTACATGTACCTTTCAGTCCCATTACTCCTCCCCCAAAGTCTGAGAAAGGCATTCAGAAATTTTACAAAATCTCTTTTCGGAGATTATTTAAAACACACATACCAAAACCATATGCCTATCTGACTAAGGTGACTATGGGAAGAGTGAAGGAGTAGAAGAGCATGTAGATTTATCTGTACTGTCGGATGCTGGTGCTTTACACTCTAACGTCCAAAGTAAAATTAAAATGGTCACAGCAATCCACTTATAGTACTAGAGATGTTCCTAACCAATTGAATTGCATAGGGTGTCATCAAAGAAATTATAAATCAACAATGTGGATGAATTTAGATATAATTAAGCTCAGAGACTTTTTTGTTTTGTTTTAATGTAAAGAACAAAACAATGGCTGGGTGTGCTGGTAATCCCAGCACTTTGGGAGGCCAAGGTGGGAGAACTGCTTGAGCCTAGAAGTTCAAGACCAGCTGGGGCAACATGGCGAGACCTCGTCTCTACTAAAAGTAAAAAAAAAAAAAAAAAAATAGCTGGGCACAGTGGCATGTGCCTGTGGTCCCAGCTACTTGGGAGCCTGAAGTGGGAAGATTGCATGAGCCAGGGAGGTTGAGGCGGTACTGAGCTGTGATCGCACCACTGGACTCCAGCTTGGGTGACAGAGCGAGATTCTGCCTCAAAACAAAAAAAAGTATAAAACTGACATCAATGAACGTACTTAGAATTTTGAAGCTGTTTCTAAATCTTTAGAAAATGTAGGGATAGTGCTAAACTCTACATGAGATACTGTGCTAAGCCTTCCCATCATGTTTTTACAATCATTCATAAGAGTGCAGTCAATCTGACAGGTGAGCTAGTAGTCATGAGGCAGGATTTATGCCCAGCATAAAAACGTGCTTAACAAAAATGTAAAAAACTGATAGGAAAATTCTTTAGTCTTACGAAAAGGAGAGCAAAAGTCTGTATCTAATATTCTAGACAGGGCCTTTTATAAAGGCAAATAGCAAGAATTAATGAACTTTTTCAGTTCCTATACTTCTATGTTAGATAAATGTTAAGGAAAAAAAAAAGGCTCCAGTTACATTTTTTCATTCTGAATAAACAATGGAAAAGGCAGACTGCATGTTATTTTGAAAGAATGAGCAGGTACAAAAGTATCTCCTACACAGGTAGAAGAATCCCTCAATAATGGAGCATCTTTATTCAGAGAAAAGCTGTCCTCTTTAAAACAGAAAGCAAAGCTGAAGACAGAATCCAAAATCCTGGCTCTGGTCCTAGTTCAGACACTAGCTGTGAAAGTCAGGTAAGTCCCTTTTTTCTTTGGGCTTCCATTTCTACTAATTTCTAGAAAAGTTATACTGTTACTCTGAAAGATTTTTCTTATGTTTTTGTTACCAATTTTCTTAGTAAATGCATTGCATATGTTGAATAGTATTGTCAACATGTGCAATGCATTTACTTAAAAAAAGACGTATCTGGCCTGGCACGGTGGCTCACGCTGGTAATCCCAGCACTTTGGGAGGCTGAGGCTGGTGGATCATGAAGTCAGGAGATAGAGACCATCCTGGCTAACATGGTGAAACCCAGTCTCTACTAAAAAAAAAAAAAAAAAAAAAAAATAGCTGGGCGTGGTGGAGGGCACCTGTAGTCCCAGCTACTGGGGAGGCTGAGGCAGGAGAATGGCGTGAACACAGGAGGCGGAGCTTGCAGTGAGCCAAGATAGCGCCACTGCACTCCAGCCTGGGCGACAGAGTGAGACTATGTCTCAAAGAAAATAAATAAATAAATAAAAAAGATGTATCCCTACATATGTCAGTAAAGCACTAGAATAAGCTCTTCACTTGTCAATGTGGATATTTAGCAACTAAAAGTAATTAAATATTTTTATGTATGCTTCACACATATATATTTGGAACATAATACAAAATTAATGTTTGTTGAATAAACAAACGAATCCATCCATTCATCCGTCTACCTCCCAGGTAAAAAAATTATAACGTTTACTTAGGCTAAATCAGGCATGGAGTTGTCACCATGGCTAAAGCCACTCCATGTGCAAGAGGAACATCTGGCTAGAAATTAAAAGATGTGAGTTCTAGTCCCAGCTCTGTTATTAACATTCTACTAATACTTAATTTGCGTGGCCTCAGTTTGCCCATCTATGAAAATGCAGATACTAAAATCTTCCCTCCATAGATGAGGACAAATAAAATGACATAGGAAAGACAGAACTTTGAAAAAAATCAAAGTACTTTATAAATAAAAGATATCAGCTTGTGATTTCATACCCATAAAGAAGCTGAATTTAGCAGTATGACAAAAAAGATTGTGAGAAGGAAGGAAAACTACCAGAGAACTACATCCTCCGCTTCATCGGATTTTCTGCTTGGGGCTAAGAGTTGCCCCTTAGAATGAAGCAGATGCTCATAGTAACTCCTAAGCAAACTCTCATGGCACTTGACCATGCTGACTCACTATTTTTTTCTTTTCTTCCTTTTTCTTTACTAAACAGACTGTATACCATATATAACTTTTACAAAATAACAGTTTATTGAGATATTATTTTAATATATTTATTTATTATTTTTTTGAGACAGGGTCTTACTCTGTCGCCCACGTTGGAATGCAGTGGCATGATAGTGGCTCACCGCAGCTTCCACCTCCTGGGCTCCTCCCACTTCTGCCTCTCGAGTAGCTGGGACTACAGGCATGCACGACCACGCACAGCTAACTTTGGTATTTTTTGTAGAGACAGGGTTTTGCTGTGTTGCCCAGGCTGGTCTCGAGCTCCTGGGCCCAGGCGATCCACCCACCTCGGCCTCCCAAAGTGCTGGGGTTACAGGCATGAGGCCCTGCAACCAACATATAATTTACATACCACAAAATCTACTCCTTTTAAGTGCAAAATTTGGTGGTTATTAGTATATTCATAGAGTTGAGAACTGTCACCACTATCTAATTTCAGAACATCTGCATCACTCCTAAATGAAACTACCCATTAGCAGTCATTTCCCATTCTACACCCCTGGGTTCCTCCAGCCCCTGGCAACTACTAATCTACTTTGTGTCTCTGTGAATCTGCCTATTCTGGACATTTCGTATAAATGGAATCACACCATATGTGGCCTTTTGTTACTGGTTTCTCTTAGTATAAATACTTGACACTAACAAAATTCTCACCACAAAATTATTCCTTAGAAAAAAGGAAACATTCCTTGGGATACCTTACAAAGACTTCCATAAGAAGGGACATTCTATTACTTTATTTTGAATAAGACTGGTATAAGCCAATATTCAGAACCTCTGACTAGAACCTAATCAATTATAATTATATGATTACAAAAAATGTCTTGCTTTTGCCATTGTTAAATAAAAGTTTGAATGCAAATATCCTATGAAATATAAATGTGGAAAAAGGGCAATATTTCCATGTGAACAGATCATTAATTTCAAATACATTTATAAAACTAAATTAATAAATTAAATGTTATATATTACTGTTTCATTTGCTTCCCTACAAGTTTATCATTCAAAATGAGGGGGGAAGTTGAAAATTCAAAATCGATCTGTTCATTGGAAACACAAGGAAGATTATTTTATATTCAAGATTATTTTATATTTGGAACTTCTAGGATCATTCGAAGACAAAGTCAGATCTGCAGATCTTTAGGCCTCAGATAACTGACTTCTCGCCTAGAACTTTAAAAAGCAGTTGAGAATCCAATTCTTAGCAAATATCTCAAAAGAAAACTGAATTTTGTAAGTGAATATCATAGAAAAATTGAGTGAGGTAATTTTATTTTAGAAAAATACTGTTAGGGAATGAAGTGATCTCAAGGGGTACTGCCAACTCACTCATTTAACTGATGAAATAATGCTGAAAGAGGCTGACTTACCCAAGATCATATGGCATGAGGGCTTACCATGCTAAGTGCTTTTCATGAATGATTTCTTAGTTTCCCATGACAACTCTATTCATGTCCCTACTTTACAGCTGAGGTTTAGAGAAGTTAAATGGCTTGCTCAAAGTTACTCAGCTAATATGTGGCAGAGCTGGGATTCCAGTCAGATCTCTCTAGCTTCAGAACCAGAGGGCTCAATGGTGTTGCTATACAAGTCTTCAGCTTCTCATCAGGACCCCCTGCCCAGAATCACATGGTTTTAAAAAAACATTTCGCCAGGTTTGAAATTCCTAAACTAATTTAATTGGAACAGAAGAAAACATCATTAGAAATTAGCAAAAACATTGGCAAAATAAGAGAAAAAGATATGGGGGAGAAAACAGGTCTAACATTATTTTGAAGTTTATAAAAACATCTAAAAATAAAAAAGGCATGAGTTATTCAAAGGAAGTCAATTTTACCTGGTTAATTCTCTTAGTCGAGTCACCTCAGCATCACGCTGACGTAATGTTATCCCCAATATCTGGTTTTCCTTTTCAGCAGTTTCTAACTTAAACTGGGAGCTTTTCACATTGACTAGGGCTTCCTCCAATTCTAAAACAACAAAAGTTTCAGTTTCCTTATTCCTTTTAAAAGATGTGACCATAACTACTGTCTAAATACGTACCAATTTTTATTCTTGTTATCTCAATATCATATTGCTGTTTATTTTCAAGTATAGTTTGATCTTTGTCTTTAAATATACTACTAAATTTTTTGTTTTCATCTTTCTGATTTTCAATCACTTTTAACAGCTCTTCATTTTTACTCTGCAGTAATTCCTGGCTCTTTAGTGACTCCTCCAATTGATTTTGCAGTGACATATTCAATGACTGAAGAGAAAACACTGTTAAGACAAAATGGATCAAATAGTTGTTTCCCAAACCTAAAAAGTACAAACTTGGAAAATACCTGTTTCTTAAAAAAAAAAAAAAAAGGCCTGAAATTTATTGATTTTGTTTAACGATTAATTGCATGAGCAGTTCTACATAAATACTACATATATTTTTAAAAATGATTGGCAGAAGTCATACCTTTCTTTTCCAGTTGACATTTTAAGCATTAATTTTTTAAACCCTTTTAAAAGAAAGAATACATAATCCTTTTAAAAGAATAATACATGTACAAAGTTAAAAAATTCAAACACCACAGAATGTCAATGATTCTCAATGAAGAATCTCCCTTCCACTCCTCCTCTCTGTCCCCAGAGACAATCAGTATTAATTTTGGTATCTTTCGTGAAAACACTTTTACATATGGTATTAATTACACTACATACACACACATACTATACACAATTTCTAACTTTGCCTTTTTTTCCCATAAGACTGTTGTATACAAACACATAGATCTATCACGTTCTTTTTCATGGCGATAAAAGTATATGGCACCATTTGTTGAGCAAATACATGCTCAGCGAATGCTTCCTATGTGTGAGGTATTGTATTAGAATCTGAATATACAGAGATGAACAACACAGACGTGGCCCCTGTTCTCACAGAGCTGATAACAAACAAGTAATTATACACAGTAATGATCTCAAAGAAACAATAAGATAAATGATCAGATAATATAAATAAGAGAAGCTATTTAAAGTGGCAACTACTGATCTCCCCACTTGTCCTCTAGGCCTCCTCTCTCCTACCCTCTCCCTTTCCTCACCTTTGGTTAACAGTGGAGACACAGTGATAATTTCTGAATCACTCTGGTGAAACTGAACACTTTTATAAAGTGCTCATTCTGTTGGGCAATCATATTTTTTTCTTATTGATTTATAAGACATATTTATATATTAAGAAGATTAAGCCTTCATCATGTCATGTATTGTTTCTCCATTTTGCTTATGTTTTGAATGTATTTATAATTTTGCTATGTAGAAACTGAAAAAGTTTTCTGGGGACATATTTTATCAATCTGTTCCTCTGTGGCATTTGAGTCTTTGTCAGGCTTAGGAAAAGTTCCCCTCCAAAAAAATAAAAAAATAAAAATTCTTATATTTTCTTCTGGTACTATTATAGTTTCTTTATTAAGCTCTGTGATCATTAAGGACAATTTGGCAATATCTGTCACAATTGCAACTGTATATACCCTTTGGCTCAACAATTCTACTGCTATAAATCTATCCTACAAAAATGCTGGCCAGGCGTGGTGGCTCATTGTCTGTAATCCCACACCTTGGGAGGCCGAGGTGAGTGGATCACTTGAGGTCAGGAGTTCAAGACCAGCCTGGCCAACATGATGAAACCCTGTCTCTAATAAAAATACAAAAATTAGACAGGCGTGGTGGCAGGCGCCTATAATCCCAGACACTTGAGAGGCTGAGGGAAGAGAATCACTTGAACCTTGGAGGCAGAGGTTGCAGTGAGACACGATCGCACCACTGCACTCCAGCCTGGGCCACAGAGTGACGCCGTCTCAAAACAAACAAACAAACAAACAAACAAACAAACAAAGCTGACATATATGCACAAAGACATATACAAAGATTTTCACTGCAATGTTGTTTGCACTGGGAAAAAAGGGGAAAGTACTATTAGCAAAGGACCATATTATGGTAGACCTGGATAAGCAGAATACCCAAGTAATTCTTAAAGAGAAAGATGCATAATTATGTATTTTGATAGACAAAAGTGTCCATTATATGTTAAGTGAATAAACAGAAGCTGTGGAAAAGTATGTACAGTGTGATCTCATTTTTAAAAAAGTACATATATAGTTCTATTTGTGCCTGGCACACAGTAGGTATTCAGTAAGTGTTAAATAAATCAATTATATATGAAGAGAAGATATGTAAAAGGAAACACACTCCTGTATTTCAAAACAAACAAACAAAAAAAGGTGTATATTATTGGGAAGTGACAGCATCTTTTATTTTCTTATGTTTCTACAATATTTTAAATTTATCCCCTCAAAGTAATTACAAAAGCTCAATTCTTTATCAACATTTCCGGAGCCACAAATAATTTATCAATCCTTAAAGTTCTTTTACCTACATTCAAGGTTGCAATCCACAGCACCAGATGGTTTTTGAGTTTTCTGTTGTTCTCTGAGTTGCTGGTTCAAAATTCTCAACTGCCTAAAGAAATAATGAAGAACTATGAATGCAAGCATACCAAGCCAATTTAATAGTATACATGTGATAGCCTATCAAAAAAGATAAAACATAAACCCACTAAGACAGCAGAAGTCCATCTCATCCCCAAAAGACAAAAACTAAATAAACAAAACAAAAACAAAACCATACTACTATTATTATGAGGCCTGAGATAATTTTTAAGGTTGCCTGAAACAACATAAAACCTCCCCTCATGGGCCAGGCGCGGTGGCTCACGCCTGTAATCCCAGCACTTTGGGAGGTCGAGGTGGGCGGATCACCTGAGGTCAGGAGTTTGAGACTAGCCTGGCCAACATGGCGAAACCCCATCTCTACTAAAAATACAAAAATTAGCTGGGCGTAGTGGCGCGTGCCTGTAATCCCAGCTACTTGGGAGGCTGAGGCAGGAGAATTGCTTGAACCTGGGAGGTGGAGGTTGCAGTGAGTGAGATCGCACCACTGCATTCCAGCCTGGCGAAAGAGTGAGACTCTGCCTCAAAAAAAAAAAAAAAAAAAAAAAAACCCTCATGAGGAAAGTGTTAATTTCTCTTTTTTGTCTCTTCAGTGATTTGTTGTTTTTTTTCTATTTCTTTCCTTTTCTATCTGCTCATGCTGTTTCTCATCGTCTTTCTGTGTATCTTCATCACTGTAGTTAATCATCTACTTTTTAAAAGATTTGTCATTACTATCAACTAGAATACCTACAAGCACTGACTGCTATCAGACATCTATCTGCCTGATGTTTGTCATATGCTGAAACACAAATCTATGCTTCTAATAATTTTATTAGATGGAAAAGTTAATGGTCTTAAGTAACGAGAATATTAACAGGCTACAAATCTGCCCTGTTACAATGAACTTCACAATATGTATCTGCTTCACAAATAGAAACATATGCAAGTGTTTTCTTTACTTCTAAGAAGTTATCGCTTATGGGGACAAAAGTTACCTCTATTATCTTTCCAGAATTACTTACCTAAAAATATTTTGCCTTAAAATATTTATTTTTGGTACTAACTCTAAAATGATAGTACCCTACCTCACATCACTCACATATATTAATTTCGAGTTGATTAAAGTGATAAAATATGTAAACAAAACCCAACTATACAAGTTTTAGGGGGAAATCTACATAATCTTGAAGTCGGGAAGGCATTTCTAAGTGAAACTCAATATCCAGCAAGCATCAAGGAAAAGAACGAAAGATTTAACCATAGCAAAATTTGAAACCTGTAGAATTAAAAGCCTGAAAGAAAATACCTGCACATATGTTATAGACAAGGGGTCCATAACATTTAAAGAACTCCTACAAATCAGTAAGGAAGGCAACCTAGTAAAAAGTGACAAAGGATAAGAATGAGCAGTTCACCTAAGAAATAGAAATGGCCTATAAGCATATGATAAAAATGCTCATCTTCACTAACATGAAGAATTGCAAATTTAAAAGAAGGTACTTTTTGGCCATAGAATTGACAAAAATAAAAAGAAATAACATTTTCTGATGATAGTACAGGAAATGAATTAACTCAATTCATGTGATTATATCAGTATAACCATTCTGGATGGCAGTTTGAAATGTCCAACAAAATGTAAAATGTTCATAATCTCTGACAAAATTATTCTACTTCTAGGTTATCAAGCATCAGAAACAGTTTTACATGTGCAAAAGCATCTCCCACCTTGTAGATACATACAAGGATGTTCACAACAGCAATTATTTAATAGTGCCAAGTTGGAAACAACTTAAAATGCTACATAAATTATGGTACATCCATATATGAAATACTAATACACAGATAATAAAAAAAGCGAGAGGTCCACTTGTACTGACGTGAAAAGATCTCTGAGACACATTATGAAGTGAAAGCAGCAAGCTGCAGAACAACAGTATAATGTGAGCTTATTTTTGTTTTAATAAAATTCTGATTTTCTTTAAAGGTTTCCCCTTTACAACAGAAGCTTTCCTCGATAATCCTTTTGTATGTCCCTGGTCAGATTCTTCTCTTCCCAAACGTAACCAATCTAAACTTCTAATAATTCACTGCAAGCCTCTCATTCCTACCCTCCTCTTCTCAATTGTATACTTTCCTTTTTTCACTAAAAATAATGTGGTTTGGGGACAAACACAGTCATCCTTTGGTCCCAGGGTGTATCCATATGTGTATTAGCCCTCATTTTTTCCATCTAGTCTGATGAGTAGCCTTATCTGTGCCCTGGATCCCATTCTCCTCCTAGACCATCAAGGACTCTGCTCCTATCCCACTCCCTTTATCTTCTGTATCTGCAGTTTCTCCCTCTTTGCCAGTTCATGTGCCTAAGCCAAGAAACATATTAAAACTCTTCCCATATTTTAAAAAAATTCCCTCCAACCTAACTGTACAAGTAGCTACTTTCATTCCTCTCATTCCCTGCTTTCAGGGCTAGGCTTTTAAAAAAATATTCTATTTAAAATGATACATGATAAAAACAGAAAAAAGGATATTTTAAAAATTGATGTTACACATGCTATTTTAAGATATGTACGAAATTTAAATATACTGGATTTTAAAAAAGGAAAAGAACTGCTGCTACTTAGGCAAATATTTCTTTTATTCAAGTCATTCTTTTTTTTTTAGACAGCTTGAGATAAAACTGACATACTATAAACTACATAAATTTAAAGTGTGTCATTTTATTTTCTGCCATATGATGTAGTAAAACCACCATCACAATTAAGATATCCATCAGCAGCCATAAAAAAGAATGAGATCATGTTTTTTTGCAAGAACATGAAGGGAACTGGAGGCTATCATCCTTAGTAAACTAACGCAGAAACAAAAGCAAATACCACATTCTCACTTATAAGTGGGAGCTAAATGATAAGAACTTATTAACACAAAGAAGGAAACAACAGACACTGGGGTCTGGATGGTAGGAGGGAGGGGAAGGTGGTAGGAGGGAGAAAAGCAGAAAAGATAACTATTGTGTACTGGGCTTAATACCTGGGTGATGTAATAACATGTATAACAAACCTCCTGTGACACGTGTTTACCTATGTAACAAACCTTCACGTGTACCCTCAAAGCTAAAAATTTTTCAAAAAACATATTCATCACCCCTAAAGTTTCCTCATAGCCCTTTTCATAACTCTCTCCTCCCAGATAAGCACTTATTTATAGTTTGCATATTCTAGAATTTTATATAAATGGAATTATGGAATATATACTCTTTTAGCCTGGCTTCACTCAACATAGTAATTTTGGGATTCATCCATGCTGTTGCATGTATCAATAGTTCTTACCCTTTTATTGTTGAGTAGTATTCTACTGTATGGATATAGCACTATTTGTTTATCCATTCACCTATTGATAGACATTTGGGTTGTTTCCTATGAACACTCATCAACAAGTTTCTGTGTGGACACATGCTTTGGCTTCTCTTAAATATCTAGGAGTGGACTGGCTGGATCATATGTTAGATATATGTTTAATTTCTAAGAAACTGCCAAACTTTTTTTCCAAAGTGTTCAAATTATTTTACATTCCCATCAGTTAATTGTGAAATCCTTCACATCCCAACATTTATTAATTTTGAATTTTAGCCATTCTAATGGGTATGCAGTGGTATTTTGTCATGGTTTTAATTTTCACTTTCCTAATCATTACTGATAAGCATCTTTCTATATTCTTATTTGATATTCATATTTGATATCCACTTATTTGGTGAAGTGTCTGTTCAAATATTTTGCCCATTTTTCAACTTGATATTTAAAAATTTATACTGTCTTAAGTTCTTTATACATTCTAATACAAGTCCTTTATCGGGTACATGTTTTACAAATATTTTCTCTCAGTCTGTTGGTTGCTTCTTCATTTTTAATAAGTGTTTTTTGAAGAACTGAAGTTTTAAATTTTGATGAAGTCCACTTTACTCATTTTTTTCTAGTTTATATTTTTTGTGTTGTATTTTTAAAATCTTTCCCAATCCAAAATCCCTAAGATTTTCTCTTACGTTTCCTTTCAGAGGTTTTGTAGTTTTAGTTTATACATTAAGATCTGTGATTCATTTCAAGTCAATTTTGTATACTGTATGAGGTAAAGGTTGAGGTTCATTTTTTAAAAACATGACTCTCTCATTGTTTCAGCACTATTTATTGAAAAGAGTATTCTTTCCCCACTGAATTTCTCTGATATCTTTGCAAAACACTATCTCTATGTGTGAATTTGTTTCTAGACTCTATTCTGTTTCAGTGATCTATTTGTCACCTTTACACCACACCTCTTAGAATACTATTCCTTTATGTTTTGAAATTGAATAGTACCAACTTGGTTTTCCTTTCTCAATACTGTTTTGGGTACTTTAGAGTCTTCAAATTTCCATGTAAACTTTAGAATCAGCTTCAATTAAATATTTTTAAAAAGCATGCTTGGGTTTTTACTTTAATTACATAAAATCTATACATCAATTTGGGGAGAAGTGATATCTTAAGTCTTACATTTATGGATCTGGTTTATCTCTCACTTATACTGATCTTTAATTTCTCTCAGCAATATTTTGTAGTTTTCAGTGTATGGGTCTTACATATTTTTCAAATTTATCCCTAAATTGTTCATATTTTTTTGATGCTACTCTAGTACTGATTTTAAATTTAATTTCAAATTGTTCATTGCTGGCACATAAAAATACAATTGATCTTGTATCCTGCAACCTTGCTAAGCTTTCTTATTAACTCTAGCAGCATTTTTGTAGATTCCATAGGATCTTCTACAAGAGTTATCATGTCATCTGTGAACAAAACAGTTTTACTTCTTTCCTTTCCAATGTGGCTGGCTTTTATTTCTTCTTGCCTTACTGCACTTGTTAGAACGTCTAGCACATTGTTAAACAGAAATAACTATCATTATTTGCTGGATAACATTCATACATTCTCCAGCATATGCAGAGACAAAAAAACAAATATCTAAGAAGAATTTTAAAATAATGGGATAATATTACAAAAACTATTTTAAAATATTATGCATTGAATTTAGGATTACATGATTTTAATGGAAAGAAATTAACAAGTGAAACCAAAACTGATTAGGCAAATATTTCTTTACTTCAAGAAATATTATTCCTAAGTAATCTAAAATTTAGGAAATAGGATATGAAAAATGCAGAGTTTGGAATTCATATTGTCAAGATTACTAACACATTCTGATCTATAACCATAATTTCCACGGTTGTCTTAGTTTTATGTATAGATTCAATGTTCACATCTGTCTACTCTTTTGTTTGAATTCACCTTTTGGTTGACTGGACTTTGCCATTCAAGTTTTTTGTTTTGTTTTTTAAAGGAGTTCAAGGGTGTTAAACTTCCTAAGTTCTTGCACACTTGAGAATATGACTGTTGCCTTTGCACTAAAAGGACAGCTAGACCACATTAGAGATTCTCGGGGCATACTTTCTTTCCCTCAGAACTTTGTAAATGATATTCTATGATCCCCTGGCAACGAAAATCACCGTGGAAAGGCTGGAGATAGCCTAAAATTTTTCTCTTCATACATAATTTTCTATTTCTTTTGAGTGCCTCCAAAAATTAACTTTTTTCATCCTTAGGGTGTAGTAACTTAACCAGCATATGTGTTGGTGTTGATTGTTTTGCATGGTTTTTCTGAGATCTTCTATGTCCTATTCATCTGCTGACACAGATCTTTTTTTTTTTTTTTTTTAGAGATAGGGTCTTGCTCTGTTTCCCAGGCTAGAATAAAGTGGTACAACCAGAAAATTTTCCCTTTTATTTATAAATATCTTAATATTGTCTTTAATCCATTTGTTCTGTTCTCTTTTTTCAGGAACACTAATTTATATCTATTTTCTTTTTCATATGTATTATCTTCTTCATAATAATTTTTAGATCATTCTTTTTCTATTTTGCCTTGTGTGATTCCCTCAAGCTTATCTACCATGCATTCAGTCAATTTAACAAATATTTGTTAGAGTGAGTGTTAGGCACAATTCCTAGCACTAGAAATATAGTTGCAAACTATAAAGCGACAAAATTTCAGCCTTCTCAAATTCAGAGACAAAAACAACAAAAAACAAGAACTTACGAGGAAGTAAGAAAAGGAAGAAGAGAAAGTTACTGTTTAATGGGTACAGAGTTCATGTTGGGGATGAAAAAGTTTTGGCACAGATAGTGGTAATGGCTACAGAACATTGTGAATTTATTTATTGCCACTGAAATGTACACTTACAAATGGTTAAAAATAAAAAGGTAAATATTATATATATTTTACCATAATAAAAATAAAAATTTTTTAAAGGGTTTAGGAAGAGGAAGAAGCTAAGGGTAGTAGGAGACACTGAACTATGAATTTAGTAGCAATTAAAACAGAAAGACTTAGGGAAAAAAACCTAAAAGCCCAAAAAACAACAAAACAAAAAACTTCAGGCTTCACAATACTTAAGTTCTAGTGGACTACAATATCCCTGAGTTTGTCTGTTTATTAATGATTTTACATTTGTTTCTTTCATTTTTGTAATTTTTTTGCTTTATTTTTCTGAGTTCACTTAACTCACTTTTCTTCTCTTTTTCTTTTTCTTCTTTGAGCACTTTGTCTCAATCTCAGTCTTTCTCCCTGTAAGAGATCCTACTATCTTTAATTTCCTTGAGACTATGGAATACTGTTTTAAGTTTTTCTGAAGTTCTTTGAGTAATTTGTCTTGTGATATTTATTCTGGACCTACCTTTGTTCTTGTTGTCTGTTTATTTTAATGCTATGCAAAATCTCTCCTATAAATTGTTTTCTTCCTGTGACTTTTGTGATGTCACTCTCCTAATTTTAATCTTCTGTTCTTTCCTTAAAAAGTTGTTACTCCCCAGCAATTCACCTTTCACTGCATTCACACACTCTACCTTCTTGGTGAATATACCACTTACTTATATGCTGGTAACAGATCACTTACTTTCAATCAGATTGTCTCCAGTGTCTACAACAGTGCCAGATCTATACAAAAAGCTCAATAAAAACATGTTCAGAGAATAATTCCCGAGTCTACATTTCCATCTTTCATCTTGTTCCTGTACTCCAGACAGTCTAACTCAGCAGGTCTAAATCTTAACTCACAGGCTCTCCTATTACCTTGCCTAACTCAAAAAACATTAACAGTATGAAATAAAACAAATCTATTCTTCCTCTAGTAGCTCCCATCTGGAAGAATTATGCTAACATTTGTTAAATTATGAAGACAGAACCTGAACATCATCCTTGACTCCTTCCATTCACTCCCGTTTCATTTTTATGTTCTGTGTGGCTACATAATGGTCTCATAGTTGAGTTTAATATCAGGAGGTGGTCATGAATTCTTGGCACTCTCTAGCTCAATGGCTCTTAACTGGAGGTAATACCCACCAAACTCCCATCCAGGAAATTTGGAAATGTGCCAGGCCTTCTGGTGGTCAAAATTAATGGGGCACCACAGACATTTAGTGGTTGGGGACCAGGAAGGCTAAATGCTGAATAACTATATCAGAAGACACATTAAAAACTGTCTAGCCTAAATGCCAAAAATGCCAAAATATCATAGAAACGATGCATCTAGCTATTTTTTAAGCCACAAGATGGCAATAAACTCCAAGAAAGTCCTGAAAGATGTGGTTAAAAAGAAACATGTAGTTTCCAAATATCTAAACAGGAAAAAAAAAATACTTCTTTAAAAATTGAAAATGATGAGAAACACTTTCGAATGAACCAATGTATTCCAATTTTTATTTGTAATGGAGATAATGGGTAATTCTTTCCAAATAGATTACCAAAGTGGCACAAACTTTCCTACACTACTGCCAGAAACCTCATTCTGCTAAAAAGAACATATCTAATAAATTCTTCATTTTTTAGTTATTTCATCTTTTAGAAGGTCAAGTAAACAACAGTGGCAATAGCATGCTATATAATCTTTGTCCTGTAAAGACAGCCAGCCAAATAGCTCTGGTGCCAGTTGAAGAATTAGGTCAGACATCAAACAAATACCTTTTAAAAAAACTAGAAACAAGTGGTGGCCCATAAAATAGTAAACTTCATTTTCTTGAGTGGCTTATGAATTAGCTCCTAAGGCAATTTAAAAATGTTCTAAGGAACCGAAATAAATAAGAACCACTAATATTTTCCATGGTGACAATGTTAAAATACAATATTCTCAGACTAAGTTTTGGTATCCTTATTTAAGGAACCAATTATTTGATTGTCATTCCTTTAAATAATATGCTTGTTTACTTTGAATGGCTTACAATACATTCTATGTTCCACAAAATACACCTAAATAGTGAGGTATAATTAAATCTCTACTTCCTAACCGAGACAGTGTAAAAGTCTACAAGTTAAGATCACTGTACTCTAAAACCAAATTGCCTGGGTTCGAGTCTTGACTCTTAACTTCTTAGATATATAACCTTGGGCAAGTTACATAAACTCTTTGTGCCTTCATTTCCTCATCTGTAAATGCGAGTAAATAGCACCTATTTCACAAAGCTGTTGTGAAGATATAAAGAGGTGACACATATCGAGGACAATAGTCTGGCATATATAAAACATTCAATAAATGTTAGCAGTATTTGCTGTTCATTATTTTATTATTTACTCACTTTTGGTTTTAAAAATTTATGCTGGTAATAGGAATTCCTTAGGTCAAGACTAAAGATGATATTAGATCTTAAACCCAGCAACCCCATCTTATATCGTAGTAGCTACAGGATAATGACCTCTAGACAAAGAATCCTAAATGAGTGCATCTCACTAGCTATCATGCCTCTACAGGCTCCAGATACGTATATTTTAGCTATGCTCCAACTATTTAATTGCTTTCCAGTTTCTTTAAAAATTTGTGTAGATCCTTGCAGGTCATATCTTACACAATGTCTATAACTTATGCAGCTGTAACACTCTCTCAGGGCACATTCGCATTGCAGTGCTGCAGAAGCACCTGATATGTACTCCAATATTTTGCAAAGTGTATTAATAAATAGACACTGAAGTGTTGGCCTTGATGGTCATCACTGAAACATTCAAAGTTAAGATATTATTGCTAATATGTGGGTGATTCCTTTTATATTTCAAGATTAGATCCCTGTTCTACATCTTTCCTAAACAAATTAAGAATGTAATTCCAACAAGTTAAGATGACCAAAAGAAAAAATATCAAAGAATTTTACTTTTTTCTATGTCTAAGTGTGGTGGGGCTACACGAGTGCTTACTAAGGTTCTCCTTTCCTTCCTGGGTGTATAGAAGTAAGTATATATCTGTGACATTATTTTATATATTTTTATATATACATATTGTATATAAATGTGTGTGGTGTGTGTGTATGTTTATTACTGCATATACATACATACACATATATATACGTATATATACACATACATATATATATATGTTTTCATTCACAGTTCCTGGCTGTCAACACCCACAGCCCTTGTTATTTGTTAAGCAGTCAAAACCAAAAACATACCTTTTATTAAAATATTTGGCCTTTTGTCCCTGGTTCCTGAAGCAGCTTCAGACCAGCTTCAGTGATAAAGGTGAAAGACAGTCGTTTGTTAATATTCAGGTACTTTAGGCCTCAGAAGCAGGCCTCAGAAAACAGAATCTCTCTCTCTAACCTTCTCTTGCCATCCTTTCACCTGCTCCTTTTTCCTCCCCATTGTAGGCCATAGGAACTAAAAATATACTCTAATCTTCTCCCACCTTTCTTACAGCTGGCCATAAGGAAATTCTCTGACCTACCTTGTCTGTTTGTAGGTCATAAGAACCCCATTTCTGAAGGAGACCTGCCTCATACTGAGGAGAAAGGAATGCTCCCCAGAGAGGTCAAACAGAATTTGAACAGACAGAACTTCTTGGGTTTCCCCACTCTGTCTATTAGATCATACCCTTTTTGTCAAATCACATTTCTTCACAGCTGACCATGATTCAACCATGACTATCCAATGAAGCCTCCATAAAAGGCCCAAGAGGACAGGGTATGGAGAGCTTCCAGATAAACACATGGAGCTTTCTAGAGGGTGGTGCACCCACCGAGGGCATAGAAGCTCCATGCCCTTTCTCCAATACCTTGCCCTCTGCATCTCTTCATCTGTATCCTTTATAATATCCTTTATAATAAAGTGGTAAACTAAGTGTTTCCGTGAGTTCTGTGAGCCGCTCTAGCAAATTAACTGAGCCCAAAGAAGGAGGTCAAGGGAACTTCGATTTATAGCCAATCAGTCAGAAACACAGGCAAAATAACCTGGGGCTTGTGATTGGCATTGGAAGTAGAGCTCAGTCTTGTGGAACTGAGCTCTCAACCTGTGGGATCTGATACCATTTCCAGGTAGATAGTGTTGGAATTGAACTGGAGGACACCCAACTGGTGTCTGTTGCAGAACTGATTGTTTGCTTGCTGGTGGGGAGAAATCCCTACACATTTGGTCATATAAGTGTTCTGTGTCGATTGCTGTGGTGTGAGAGCAGAAGAAAAACAGTTTGCTTTTAACATAATGTCCCAGACCTTTCTATTAGGCAGGGCCATGTGCCTTGTTTCAGCCTATAAAATATAAGTGGTAGCGAAACGATCACTTCTGGGTTGAGCCATGTAAGACTCCCCCATTACCACATCCACATTCTCTTTTTCCTAGACAACACATACTGAGACAGTGGCTTCATAAAATGGAGGCAGTCTGGATCCTGAGTCACATGATGAAAGAGCCACCAATGATCCATGTTAGTCTTGGCATGAGGGAGAAAGAAACTTGCTGTGCTATGCAAATGAGATTTAGAAGTTCGTTTCTGCAGCATAACTTAGACTAGTCTGATAAATATACAGAGGTACTTCATTTTTCTGCCTACACACTACCAAGTGACAACAGGGGTAAAATAAGTGGGAGAAAATACATACAAGTGGGCAGAAGGAAGAGTTAGAGAATGCTGGAAATCTCTGAAAAATGAGGAAGAAAAGTAGAAATACAGTAAGACAGCAAATAAATTTTACTTATGAAGTCCTAGGTATGTCATTTGCACCTTTGTTCTGGCCAGGAGACATCTTTGCATACAGACAAAAATATTCAAAGAGCAATTCTTACCTTCGTAACTGAGCATTCTCACTTCTTAATGGTTGCATGGCCAGTGCTATCTCAACTTGAATATCTGTGTTTCCACTTACTGTTGGAAGTACAGATATACATGCCTCCATTTCTGTAATCAACCTCTGAATTTCTGAATCCTCTATAGAAGGCAACAGAAATGAGTAAAATCAATATTATATTTTTGGACAAGATTATTAGTATGTATTACTAAAAAAGAAAATCTTTATAGATATGTACATTCTTGTTATAAATTCAACTCAATTATTTATAAATTTATTATACAGGTTCCATTTTTCTCTTTCATGCTGCTGGTATTTGTTTCCTCAGAATTCTAAAGAAATTAAGTTCAGTAAACTAAAGATTAATCTTAAATCACAGGATTATTACATAAGTGATTTTTTTTTTTTCAGTTCAAGAGTCAAGTAGGAATGTGGCTTACACAAAACTCTTAGTCCATAGTTACAAAGGACCACAGTGGACTCCTATGATTGCTATAGGGTTTCCTATAACTGGTTATAGTATTAACATTTATAATACAACCTTTGATCCTGGCATAAGCAAACAATTTACTTTAGGGGGTTAATATGGCAAAATATTGAGTGAGGGTCTGCTAAGATAGTTTCATTACTTAATTTTCTAAAGTAGATTGAACACAAGCAGCCACATCTCATTTGATGTGACATCAAAAGTTTGTTAATAATTGTGGACAGTAGATGTTTTTGGAGATTGCAAACAGACACAGGCATAGAAGGTAGATATTAATTCTTTTGCCTTTTATCTTTGTCCCCTCATTCCCATTCATATTTACTACGGGCTGAAAGTACTTAAAATTATTTATTAATCATCTGATAACCTAGAAGTTGAAAGTGTATTCTAAGTTACAAAAATGTATTCAGTTTCACAGATATTTTAACATCCTCATGAAAAGTATATGTACACAGTAAACAACTGTGTTCAATGATCAAGCAGTCTTCTACCAATCTTTATTTATTTATTTATTTTGAGACGGAGTCTCAGTTTCCTCATCAGTAAAATGGGAGTGGTAACAGTACCACATAGGGCTGCTGGGAGGATTAAATGAGATAATGCATATAAAACACTTAGCACTGTGCTGGACACATGGTAAGTGTTCAATAAATGACAGCTAATGGTATTATTATTATTACCATGATTATGTATCTGACTGTGAAAATGGTAATAAGTTGAAGGTCTGAAAACAGAGCAATTTTAATATACTAAATCTTTGGTCTAATGGTGCTACATTTATATAGCATTTTAAGATTTTTTTTTTTTTTGGTCTGCAAACGTTAGGTATTCAATCAATGCTTCCAAAATCAATTACTGTGTTTCCAAGATGACAAAACTGTAACTCATTTCAAGCAAAAGCCATTACTATAGAATACATATACAGAATGGAAACAAATGAATAGAATCTGGCTCAGAAACACCTTGATTTAAGAAAAAAAGTCCTAAAAATACACTGAAAAGGGCATAAGAAGGTATGCGTTACTTCTCAAAGTGAGATTTGTTAAACAATCTAACAGTTGGCTATTAAAGAAGTGACAGGAAAGAATTCTCTGCATCTTTTTAAAACAGGAAGAATAATCAGTCTACTCAGGGAGTTAATCATTTATAGGCATTCTCTAATTAAAATTTTTATCTGTCCAAATTCTCTTTGGTTGACTCTTTTCAAGGTCTATTATCAAGCAGAATAAATACACACTTGCAAGCAAAAGACTGAATGTTTGACATTCTCAAACGCATTTTAAATCCACAGGAAAGAAGGGATCAAAACTTAAAAAATAATACAATAAGTAGAACTCATTTTCTTATTAGCTCAAAACACAGTTCTATGGAAAATACCACAAACTCCATTTAAATGATAGCTAAATAACATGACATTGCTATTTAGTATAACACCATACTACAGAAAGTTATAAGTCCCATCTACCTTGTTCTGCTACCAGGGCCTTGAGCTCTCCCAACAAATATTTTATAATTCTAACTTTTTCAGCTGTCTTGTTCACATTTTTTGCCTTCTGTACATCCTTCACTGTTTTTGTATCTCGCACATGTATGTTTAAATCCTTTCTTTCACTTGTGGCCTCTCTAATTTGCTCTCTGGCACATTTTTCTTCATTAGTGGCCAAGAAAGCTGGTTGTGACTGAGTAGGGCTTCGGTGTGTCTGACTGTCCAGATGCGTTTCTTTTCCATGAGATCGAAAAAGAGACAAATATGTTTGAATACATTTTAGTAGGTCTGTTTCCTTATGAATTCCTTGTTGTGGCAGAATTCCATTAACAAGGCCCAGTTGCTGCAATGTTGGAATAGCTGATATGTCAGTTTTGGGCAGGCTACATGGAACTCCAGGACTGGTATTAAATGAATTCCGTAGAACATCAGTACAGGTTGCAGAAACTGTTTTACCTTGTGATGCAAACTGACTGTTGCCATCAGTTTGAACTTCCTAAAGAAAGATAAAAACAAGTCTTCAGAAGTATGAGCACTCATTTGTAGGTATTAATTACAACAAACTCAAATATATGAAATATATTTATTAAAACATGTTTATTAATATATTCATTTTGTGAATATTTAATAAGTAGTTACCACTATATTTTGAGGATATACTATAGTCTGTGTAACTACTCCCATACAGTTAGACATTTAAGTAACAGCCAGTTTTTCACTGCTGAAACATTTCTGTAAATATGTTTGTGCAAAAACTTTTTGTATGTTTAAACTTATTTTCTTATGATGTAATTTCCCAAAGTGGACTAATTTTTGATGCTTTTAAACCATCTGTGGTATTTGTAAACAGTCTATTTTAGTCATGGCCTTGTAATGCTCCCATATTACAGGGTAAATTAAGCTTTAAAAAACAAGAATCTTTATTGCACTGAGGAAAAAAATCCAACTTACTTTTAAGCTAAAAATATTAGTAAGTTTCTGATATTAAAAACTTGCTTATTAATAATAATATTAATTATAAGAAACTCAAATATATGGTTACTACTCCTAACCATATAGTAGTTACACAGACTATGGTATATCCAAAAAATACAGTATTAACAAGTTATTAAAAATTCAAAGGGTATATATTAATAAACATGTTTTTAATAAAGTATTAAGTGAAAGCAGCAGTATATAAGACTGTATTGTTGACTTATAACTTTATTTTAAAAGGAAAGCAAATGTTAACAAATACAAACCAGAAACTAAAACCTATACAGAGGATTAAACGATTGGAAAGAACTCTATCAGTGTGTCAACAGCAGTTGTACTTGGGTGGTCAGTATGGTTGATTTTTTTCCTCCTACTGATCTCTTCCCCTCTTTCTCCTTCATTATTGTCATTAATAAATAGGTAAAACTTTTCTTTCTTTTCTTTTTTTTTTTTTTTGAGATAGAGTCTCACTCTGTAGCCCAGGCTGGAGTGCAGTGGCGCGATCTCACTCACTGCTACCTCTGCCTCCTGGGTCCCGGTTCAAGTAATTCTCCTGCCTCAGCCTCCCGAGTAGCTGGGATTACAGGCATGTGCCACCATGCCCAGCTAATTTCTGTATTTTTCGTAGAGGTGGGGTTTCACCATGTTGGCCAGGCTGGTCTTGAACTCCAGACCTCGTGATCCACCCACCTCGGCCTCCCAAAGTGCCGGGATTACAGGCGTTTAGCCACGGCGCTCGGCCATAAACATGTAAAACTTTTATAGCAAAAAAAAATAAACAACTGGTCTTTAAATCCTAGTGCATTAAGTTATAAGCAATAAATTCAACAGTCCCTCCTGAATGACTGCTATAAGCAAATAGTTACTTATGTAGTATAAGAACTGTACGCACAGAATGAACCTTTGGAGGGCAGGGTGGCCGCTGAAGTGACCAGACTGGGGTGGAGGTACATAAGCCATAACTAGAATGAGGAGTTGCCTGAGATTCTGTAAGTAAGAGGGAGAAAAAATTAATCACATATCCTACTTTTTATACAGTAACCAAGCAATTTAATTAGAACTTACACTCACGATTTTTAAACAGCATTCGTACTCACCAGAATGAGAGGGAGCATGGCATGGTACAGCAGGAATTCCATTAGGGATGTTCTTTGAAGTCAAGTCATTCATCAGTGACATCTGAGTCTGCACGTGCTCACAGAGGGCTTGGTATATTATGGGTGAATACATTCTATAATGATCTTGCAATGACCAGTTTTGCTCTAGGTCTGATGTGTCTCTTTCACTTCTAGCAGAAGCTTCATTAGGTATCTGTTTCTTATTATCTGAAGATGCTAATGTGGAAGAAGAAAAAAGTTCTTGAAATATGATTCTTCAAAAACTTTTACCGTAAGATTTTAAGAGAAGAAAGGGCTCTCAGAAGTAGTCCAATCCATCACATACTTCATAGAAGGGCTTTACCACTATCACCCCTACTAAAGAAAATCATCTCAAATTCTTTCTGAAAGTAATTAGTGTTTAAGTTTCCCCAGTCAAAAATCATCTATACTAATTCTTTACAATTCCCATTTTTTATGCTACTTGCCATTTGTAAAATCTCTCCTTCATTTTAACACTTCTTTTAAGGGAGTTATATTATCCCTAAAGTCCAGTCAAACTCCTTCACCTTGTTCCTTGTCAGTTCATGTTCTCAAGGGAAAATGCAATAGGAAAGAGAATAGTTTGTACAATTCTGATGCTTTGGGTCCTCAAAAACAAAACAAAACAAAACCAACCAAACAAACAAAATCTTGGCCTGGCATTTAAAGTTTCCAAAGCTTGACCACAAGCTACTTTTCCAACTATCGCCCCATCACTCCCAACTCCAATTTTTCATTTCAGGCAGGCCAATTTAGTTACCCAACAAGCTTTTCTCACCTTCCAATAACATTGTTCATGAACCATTCCTACCAATCCAATTCTACCCACTCACCAAGGCTCATCTGAGTTTTCTTCTTCCATGAAGCCTTTTCCAATCCAATCATTCCAGTCTAGTGACTACTCTTCACCACCCTAGAGCACATATTGTCTATAGAAATCATATGCCACTGACACACTGCCTTATATTGCTTATCTTTCATCCTCCTGCCTTTCTGACTAAACCACAAGTTTCTCTAAGCAGGGCTGTACTTCATTGTTTTCTCTTACAGAACCTAGTATTAGTCTATGAACAAGGTAGAAATCGGTATTAACAAAGTAATAAGTAAAAAACAACAAAGTTTTCTACATAGCACTACCTATAGATTGGTATAACAATCTGAATACTATTTCCCTAATTAGGTCCCCTTCCCAAAGGTTTTTTAAAACACTATTAACAGAAATGAAAATATTCTGGTAAATCATAGGTTATCAGTATACAAAATAAATTTAGAAAAATATATGGATATTTGTCACACCTACCAAAGCTAAACGTACATATATTCTATGAAATAACAATTCCACTCCCAGGTATACACCAATAGAAATGAGTGCTTATGTCTACTGAAAGACATGTGCAAGAATGTTCACAGCAGCTTGATTTGCAGTAGCCCAAAGCTGAAAACACCAAATAGCCATGAATAGCAGAAATGGATAAACTGTGGTATACTCGCAGGCTGGAATACTATACAGCATTAAAAAACCAACAAAGTACTGATATATACAACTACCTGGATGTTTAATACACTTAAGGCTGACTGAAAGTGGTCAAACACAAGGGCGCACAGTGTTCAATCACATTTATAGGAAGTCATCAAACAGGTAAAAGTCACAAATGGAAACAGATGTCAGGAAAATGGTTACACAGGGATGAGGGTCTAGGTGATGGTGAGGGTACTGACAGGGAGGGAGCCTCGCAGGGTGCTAAAAATTGTCTGTATCTTGATCTAGGTGGTGGCTACAGGGGTGTATACGTATGCAAAAATTTATTGAGATTTATGTACTTTAAAATTATTTATGAGAAGTATTCCTTAATTTTTTAAAAAACAAAATAATTAAAAATTTAAAAGTAGAGAATCCCTCAAATATAGTTTATTGAAAATAAAAATATTACTAAAAGTGTAAAACTTCCATGTAAAAGCAAAAACAGAAAAAGTTAAAGGCAGATTTAATACTATAACCAGTGAAAATAGAAAAAAAATTTAAAGAAAAAGACAATATTTGACTACGAAAATGGCTGAAGATATCAGATGCTTCCCTTTTGACTTGGGGTATGCTTCCTTTTCAGATGATCTACTCCTATAAATGTACTTTCCAGACCTAAATACAAGCTTTAACACTTATTAGCTGAGTAACCTTGCGCAAATTAACTTCTCTTGACCTGTTTTTCCTCATCAGAAAAATTTTAATAATGCCTATTTTATAAGATTATTGAGAGATGTAAATGACGTAACACTTGTAAATTTCTTAAAGCAATGTCTACCACACAGTAAAAACTCAATGTTAAATATCACCAAATAGCTGCACTCTTACAATAGACAAGTAAATATATCATATTCATAAATCATACTATCTGATGTCAGTAATAAACCTCTGAACATGTCCCCTCTGAGATGATTAAAATCAAAAGTAATAAGAGTTACCTTCACTATCTGATCAGCTCAAACAAAACTGGTTAATAAACTTTTGTAAAGCAAATACTATTTCTTACCAGAAATACAATTTTATAATAAATCAAATGGAAAAGTGCCCTCTAAAATATTTTAACTTTGAAATCTAAAATGATAGAGGGTGAGATCATAGCCCATGGCCATCTAGCATACCACAAGTCCTTTCCTCTTGATTCCTGGGTCTTTCCTTCTGCTCTTGGATTTCCTCTGGTCCTTAAGAATTGGCTAGTTTGAAGAATTCTCAGATTTCACACACAGGTCACAGCATCAGGCTCTCATTTACTTTCTTTTCAAGGCGTGGTTTTCACAGTTTCTAATAAAGCTGAGCTACATTATGCCTCAGCCAGCAGATGTCATCAACTAACATAAATTAATAAATTCCAAACCTATTTCTTCAAAATCAAAGCCTTAGAACTAAAATGACATATTCTGCTCCTTTATAAACTCAGTCCACACAAATCTCTACGGATAATGTTGAGTAACTTTACTTAACGATATGAAGTCTTAAAGCAAACAATCCAAGACAAGTTAGAAACCATAAGGGAAGGACTGCAGTTATATGACTACTACACAGTTTTAAAATAAAACAAACCAATGATCAAATGAGCCTGTTACTACACAAATACAAATGAAGTATATTTTCTTGCTCTTGTTAATTACACCAACGCACTCTACATGAAAATTTTAGCTATTGGTCTGGCAATGTTTAAGTGATGTCAGGTGATAACTAGAATTCATGAAAGGAAAGTATTCATTTACTCAGTCCACAAAACTTTTTCAGTCCCTGAAGTCTAGCTGCTGTGCAAGCACTGTCTGACAGGAAGTTATTCCTGCCACTCGAATATAGAACAAACATCCAGTGCAGGTAAGAGCCACTAGATGCCTACTATAATTTGAAATACGTAAGAACACCTGGCCTTTATGAGTGGCAATCAATGCTCAAAGGATTTTTGCCTGTGGTTGGTTTAGTTCCCCAAGATGAAGACAGCAATGTATGTTACTAAAAGCAAAATCATGAAAGCATTCAACACAGTTATCACATGTAAAAGTTGCTTATTTAAAAAATACATATTTTTTTTAAATGCCAGAAGCACTCTCAAATAAGCTCAATACAATTCTGGAAGGGCTTCTCTGCCTCCTTAGTCCCAGAATGCATCATGGTGTGCTTACCTGACTCCATAGGCATTCAGTGATCAGGTAGGCATTCAATGATCATATCATCCCAGATAGAAAGTACATAAGGAGGCCACTCCCCAGAAGACAGTTAACACAAAATAGCAAGATAATGTGTGTTAAAAGTAAAATAATACATGGATACTAGTTAACATGCTGTAATAGATCGCTTAAAGTTCTTTATGATTACTTCACTTGGAGACGGTAAAGAGAACAAGTTATGAGCTTGGATTTTGTGTATTTTTGAGCATTGTGGTAACAAAGCAAAATCTTGTATTATTGGTTAACAGCTGCCAACCACACACACACACAACTAGAAACTAATTTCTAATATTGCAACCCTAAAGAAGATTGTCCTGTGGAAGTAGGTCCTTCCTTCTGATTAAGAAAATATGGGAGAAAGAACAATAAGAATATTGCACCCTGATCACAGGCCAGAACTGCTGATTCGGCTGTAATCCAAATAAGAATTTAACGCTATGGACCCAGAATGCCAGAATCTTCCATCTGCCAATCCAAACCCACCTCTACTGGTCTTCACCCTGGTCTCCCTGGAATGCTGATCCATATGGGCTGCAAAAAGACAGTCCTTCAATATGTCTTGCTGTATATACCAAAAAAGCAAGGCTTTGACCTAAACTCCTTACCTGGGCCGCTTCTCAGGGTTGTGTCTGCAGTGAGCAACCTTGAAGGATGAGGTAATGTTTCCCTCTGGGACAAGCACAGGCTTGATTACTGCTTACTACCAAAGTGACGGATTCCCCAAGCTCAGTGTTCCTCAGCTGCAACCTAAACCTAAGGCATGTGCAGCATCCATATGGGTCCACCATATCACCCCAATGGGAACTAGGGTGAATGAGAACCAACACAATATGCTGATGCACATACTGCTTCCTGTGCTGTGAGTAATAAAGTCCTTTGTCTCTGACCCAGCAGTCTTGTCTTCTGCTAGCATCCATGACACAGTAAGACTAACTTACTAGCTTGTAAGAGTCAAATCCCAGACCTGATATACATCAGTAGGGCTTCAGTTGGGTTCAATCCAATGGGAGTCTTGGCATATCAAGGAAAGGAAGAAGCATGAAGTCAGGATATACACTTATTCCTGCTCCCTTTCTATAAGGCCACCTTGGGCTGCCTTCGTCATTTCAATGAAGCTCACTGCTCTTCTCAAGGTAGCGTATTCTATAAACAGTATCTCTTTCTAGATCCAGTAACCTCTCTCTCTCCTAATCCCTTATGGCCTAGAGATGATAACAGCTCTGCTGCTCTGCTGCTAGCACTAGGCTCGCATGACCTAGTAGGCAAAACCTGTGGTTTTCCTATACCCTATTCATACCTTTATGAGTCCCTTTGTAAATAAACCCTCCTAAAATTACCTCAATTTGAGTGTTGCCATCTGTTTCTTGTTGGAACTCTGACCGACAGAGGCAGTTAAGTCAGGATCCAGTAAGTTGATACCATGACACCCACTGCCAGTCACATATATTGCAAATAATAGTTCCTTGAGGAAAGGTGCCCTGGATAAGAAATAACCTGCCTACAGACAAAAAGTAGGAGACTGGAGGAACAGGTGCTACCGCTCCTTTCTTTCTCAGTTGGGCCCCAATAAAAAGGCCTCTGCTTTAAAGAGTTAAGGCCAGGGTTTAGCACTCTTTCTTCAAAGGTCAAATAAATATTTTAGGTTTAGCAGGCCAGATGATCTCTGTCAAAACTACTCAACTCTGACACTGCAGCACAAAAACAGCTAATAAAAACACATTAATAAATTAGCTTGGCTGCATTCTAATAAAATCTTATTTACACAATAAAATAACTAAACATTACTTATAAAACTGGCTGTAGTGTATTGAGCTTAGACCAATGCTGTCCAATAGAAATATAATACAAACCATATATGTAACTTGAAATTTCCAGTAACCATATAAAATAGGTAAAATTACTTTTCATAATATTTAAATCAATATATCCAAAATATTAACATTTCAGTGTATAATATAAATAACTGAAATTTTGTATTAAATCTTCTAAATCTAGCATATATTTTACACAAAGCACAATCTAGATGCTAAATTCTCATCAGAAATACTTGGTCTATATTTAGATTTAATAAAATTTACACTTGAAAAGGTAGGTTCACATGCCCAAGTTATTCCAAACATACTTAAAAGTTTTATAATAACTGGATCAATTATCAGTTTTCTAATTTAATTTTAAATTAAATTAAATTAAATAACATTAAAATTCAATTCCTTGGTTGTACTAGTCACATTTCAAGTGCTGAATAGCCACATGTGGCCAGTGGCTACCATCTTGAATAGCACAGGTCAAGATAATATAAAGCTATCATTACTGGCCTCCAAGATGAGTTAGGTTTCCCTTGCCTTAGTTCTCTACCTTGGGACTATCTGAAACATCAACCTCTAGTCCCATGAATGCTCTACTGACACTTTCTCAGCCTCCTTGCTTAAATCCTGATCTCTTTATAGGGCTACTGCTTTATATGACTTTCTAAACTTCATTCCTTGCCCAAGCTGAATCTAAGCACGTACTACAGTGCTGACATTTCTGGCCCACCTGAACTATAGAACTGGCTAGTCTAATTCTAGTCCATCTGAATTCCCACTGTGGACTTTTTCATCTTCATTTTGGGCTATCTTGTTTTCTAGGCCTCCAAGGGACAACATAATCAAAACTTTCTTGTTCTAAACTAGGAAAAGTTAGCCGTGAGGGTGTAAAGTACCCTTGGCTATACTCACCACCAATCAGCAGCAGCCTTTCCTTATTCATCCGATTTTACCTTCCTATGTACCATGTATCCTAACTGTGTAGCTTGACAAGTTCAGCTTGACCAACTTAGGATATATATATATATAAATATAATAATTTTAAAGCAACTACTAGAAGTATACACTTGAAATACAACCAATTTATGATTATCTATGAAAACAAGTGGCAGGGGAAACTAAGATCACTCTATATACCTCCCAAATGTCATTCTGAGTTTGAACTTTTTCTCCTACAAAACCCTGACAGTCTCTTTTTCTATTTTTCTTCTTGAGAAAATGATAGCAAGCAAAGTGGACTACTCAGTGATTAGAAGCTGAATACAGAAAGGCATAAGCACACATAAACCTAACTAATACTGATTATTAAAATGAAAATCAACTGTATAATCCTGATAATTGATCAAAATACCCACAATTAAGGATTATCTTTAAATAACTAAGAGAAAAAAGGCTTACATGTTTCTTTCTGGACTACCAAAGGAATAGTATGTTTTTCATGTCTTTTCTTTTTTGATCCGTATCTTTTGCTTTCTAAAGGTCTAGAATTAGATCTGTTTTCTAAATATGCTGTTTCTGAACCTATTAATAAAACAAAAATTTGTTACATCAAAATAATGACTTGAGATAAGGTGATCAGCAAAGAATTAAAAAAAAAAAACCTGAATCTTCATTTCTCAAAATGTCCCTCAGCAAAGAAGCACAACCATCAAGCCCGTGTACAGTTTCAGCCTGTAAGAAATAAAGTCATTTAGAATACATTTGTATATGACTGTTAGTGTAGGAAAAAATATAAATTATGTAGTTTTAAAATTTGTTTATTTACAAACTATTATTGGTAGAAAAGATGTTTTAAAGCAACAGACTTCATACTTCCTTAGAGCAATTAATACTTTGCATTTTATTCCTACTTTTTAGCTACTATTTGAAAACTAATTAAAATAGTGTGTATTGTATCTATTCAATCTTACCTGACTTTCTGAATCAGAATGGATGGAATAGCCAGAATCTGCATTAAAACGTGGTATTTTTCTTAAATAGGTCCTGGAAAACAAGCTTATTAATATTCTTACAAATATTTTTCCCAAAATATATTAGTAAGTAGTCATTTTCTTTCCAGCAAAGACAAGAAAGCTTGTCCAACCATGTACAAGATGAATTTATAAACACATTCTGAAGATCAGAAAGACTGTTAAATACTAAAATGATTAACATGGGTAGACATGAAAAATTGTTCCTCAGAGCTTGTGATGGTAGAGGCCTACCTAATTTTCTGGGGTAGACGACATGTCATCCAGCCCAAAGACCTGAAAAATTCCTTGAAATCTGAAGTTGTAAACGTCTTCAAGTACTTACGCTTTCTTTCCATTTGTTAATTTAGCAGGTCCAGTGTGCCTTCCTGAAGATAACACCTATGACATAATATATTATAGCAGATAAACAAATATTTTTCTATTATATTTTCAATATGCTATCTTGACAAAATTTAATGTCATTTTTTTCTTTTATTCATCTTCTCAAACTGAAACTCTGCATCCATTAAACAATACCTTTCCATCCCCTCTTCTCCCTGACCCTAGCAACTATCATCCTAGTTTCTATGAATTTGACTAGTCTAGAAACTTTATATAACTGAAATAATACAATATTTGTTCTTTTGTGACTGGCTTATTTCACTTAGCATAATGTCTTCAAGCTTCATCTATATTGTAGCATGTGTCAAAATTTTTCTTCCTTTTTGAGGTCAAATATATTCCATTATATGTATGTACCACATTATTCACTGTTTTAATTAATGTGATATATCCTAAAAATACACAATTATAATTTAATTCATATATTAAATTTCTTTTATGTAAAACGTCAAGCAAACTACACATATATTTGTTCCTTAAGTCTATTTAAGGTGAAAAGGAAATTGAGATACTATTTTAAACCAGAAGTAACTACTACACTAAGTTCAGACTATATTAATCCCAAAATATGTTCTATAGTCCCAAATTCTTTGAAACATGCAAGTTAATTCATGATATAGGACAGAGTTCTTAACTCTGGTTCCTTTTATGTACATTCTTTAGAATGCCTGATTAGACCAGGAAGTGAGAACTCTACCCTGTCTCTTTATCTACATCTCACTGTCTTAATTTTTCTTTTTAAATTCATATACCACTGTTGTTTTCTTAAACTTTTTTGTTTTAAAAGTGACAATAATGGACAACCTTTTGTGTAGAAAAACAGGAAAAAATAAGCATTTGCTTTTACATGCATCCAGTATCTTGGGAGTTATGCCAGAAACAGTTAATCATGGTTGCCTCTGGGGAGGGAAACAGAGTATCTGGGGGACAGAGCGAGAAGGGACACTTTCCATGGTATACTATTTTATATCTTAATAATTTTATATCAGATAAATATAATCTTTATTCAAAATAATTTTAAATAGACATGAGAAAGTCCCTGATTCCCCCCCTAGTTCCACCCTCCAGATGTAGTCACTGTTGGCAGTTTTATTTATAATTTCTCTTCACATATTTAATTTCATCTCCAGATAGCTTTGAGCTGTAACTACCAAACTTTCTAAAGTTATACGGCATTCTATTATATGCTTGAATATGTGCTCCATCCTTCTAAGAATGTCACTGAGAATACATTTTTTAAAAACTGGGTTGGTAAGAGTTATACGTCTTGAGATAACTTGGATTATGATGGAGGGTCATGAAGCCAGCAGTGAGAACCAACAATGTAGGAAATAAGACCTTGTATAACATCACACCACTGGTCTCTGCATCACACTCTCAGGGTCCTTCCCTTTGGTATATTTATGTCGATGTCTTGGCTGGAATCATAATAAAAAATCCAAGCCATGACACTATAATACTATACCCTGGATCGAGTCCAAAAACAACTACCACAATTAAAGTACACTGTCTGAGGTATATGTCTGGCATAACTGTAAGATTACATATGGTGTTTCTCCAAAAAATATACACAAGGCTATATTATAGAAAATCTGGTAAAGAAAACTACCCATGATAAAAGCACCTTGAAACAGTAACTGTCATATTGGAACAATTCCTTTCAATTTTTTTTTGTAGTTTCTACTATGAAATAATAGTACAAAGATGCCCTATATATGCTTCACTCAGATTCTGTGAACCTTGACATTTTCCATATTCTCTCTCAATATATATACACAGCAGTACTTTTTGCCTGAACCATTAGAGTTAAGTTTGCAGATACAATACTCCTTTACTCCTAAATGTTTCCTAAAAACAAGGCCATTCTCTAACATAACCACAGTATAATTATCAAAACCAGGAAATTAACATTGATACAGAATTACAATCTAATATTCAGACCTTATTCACATGTTGCCAATTATCCCAATACTGTTCTTTACAAAAAAAAACCCAAAAAACAAAAATCCCTCTGGTTCACGCCCAATCCATGCTCACATTCTGTTTCTATGAGTTTTAACTATTTAGGTACTTTATGTAAGTAAAATCATGCAGTATTTGTCCTTCTGTGACTAGCTTATTTCACTTAGCATAATGTCTTCAAGTTTTGTCTCTGTTGTTGCATATGACAGCTATTTCTTTCTTTTTAAAGGTTGAATAATAGTCCATTGTATGTATATACCATATTTTCTTTATCTGTTCATCTGCAGATAGAATTTGGGTTGTTCCCACATTTGGCTATTGTGAATAGTGCTGCAATGAACACAAGAGTGCAAATATCTCTTCTATATCCTGATTTCAATTCTTTTGGATAAATTCCCAGAAGTAGAATTGCTGGGTGATATAGTTCTATATTTAATTTGGTGAGGAATCTCCATATTGTTTTCCATAGCAGCTATACCATTTTACATTCCCACTGACAGTGTACAAGGGTTCCAATTCTTCCACATCCTTGCCAACACTTGTTTTCATTTTTTTAATGTCATCCTAACAGGGGTTAGGTGATAGCTCATTGTGGTTTTAATTTGCATTTCCTGGATTAGTGATGTTGAGCATCTTTTCATATACCTGCTGGCCATCTGTACATTTTCTTTGGAGAAATGTCTATTCAAATCCTTTTTTCGTTTTTTAACCAGGTTATGTGTTGTTCTGCTTTTGAGTTATAGAAATTCCTTATATGTATTTTGGATATTATTTATCAGATACATGGCTTGGAAATATTTTCTCCCATTCTGTAGATTGCCTTTTCACTCCATTAATCATTTCCTGTGCTGTGCAGAAGCTTTTTAGTTTGATGTGTCCATGCTCTTCTTATATTACCCCTGCTCAGCCCTGGAGTTGGTCATTTCTCCAAGAAGCCATGACTCCTTAGTGGACAGTGGTACGTGGAAACCAAGATCTAGGTACTAGATGTGTTCTTTGCTATTGGGGCCTCCAATCTTTTTTCATATGCATTTTTTACTTAGTCATAATACCTAGATATTTGCAATTTTAAATCCTGTGTTTTCTACTTTTAAATCTTTTTCATATTCATAAATTTTTAATGGTTGTATAATATTTCCTTCAGTGGAAGTAATATAATAATGGTCTTGGTTTGCTTCATATTTTTCACAATTAAAAAAACAAACCTGGAATAAGCCTTTCTATCTACTGAAAACAGCCTTTTTATATTTAGGATTAAAAAGAAAATTATTTGGTGAAAGGTTATTAGCAATTTAATAACCCTTGATACAAACTGCAAAGCTGCTCTCCAAAAGGAGTGTCCTAATCACAATACAGGAGAATCAGTTTGCTTTATTTTACACTTACTTCTACGAGGTTATTATCATTAAACTTTTAATTTTGCTATTTGAGAATCATATAAGCATTTCTTAGTAGTCATATCTCCTACCAACAAGTACAAGATAATACTGCCTTTGTAGAATGACTTACAGTGTGCTAAGGTCTTTCATTTTCACTTAATCCATACCCTGTGAGTTATTATTTGTGAGGTGGGAACCTAAATTTCAGAAAAGTGGTTTGTTCAAAGTCATACATCTACTAGGTAAAATGTTTAAAAGAAGAATGGACTCTGGCATCAGTTTTGTGAGTCTGAATCTTGTTTCCACAGCTGTGTAACTGCCAAGTTATTTGAATCCTCCAGCCCTCGATTTCCTCATATATAAAATAGGGATAATAGTACTTACCTCATAAGGATATCGTGACTATTAAATGAGTTATTCTATGTAATACATAAAAGCACTTACAGTAGCATCTGCCACATAAGTCCTATCTAAATGTTGGCTGCTGTTATCATTAAGATGGTGGCAAACTACGTGTTTTAAAGGGAACTAAATTTTGTTGTATGTCTACAACAACTGTGTGATCGATGTTTTTACCGGGTTCTCTTATTTAACCTTCTCAATTCTTTGAGACAGGATTTTATGCTTATTTCTGCCTATTTTGCAGCTAAGGAATAGGAAGTTCTGAGCAGTAAAAAGTAGTAGACTCTCAATCTGCAGGTGACTGAAGCTAGGAGAGGTTAAGTCACTCGACGCAGCGGCGAAGGCTGGGACTCGAACCCGGGCCTGACCCCAAAGCCGGCGCTCTAGACTAGGGCTACGACGATTTAAACAGAAACATCTAGAGACCGAGCGGCCGTGTTACGACGGGAAGATTAGGTGTTCCCTGCACCTCTGTCCCAGCACTTTAATGTCGCCGCATTGTCTTTGTCTTTTTTCGAGCAGAGTTTTACAAGTTCCTGGCCCGAAAACCCCCCTGTCCCTCTCCATCCCCACAGCGGACTCCTCAGGTCCTCAGCCCTCACCTGGCCCGGTCGAGCTCCAGACCTGACCATCTCTCGCCGCCTCAGAGAAGCCCAGACCGAGGGAAGTGAAGCCTCACGGTAAAAAGAATTAACCGCCGTGGGCTCCCGGACCTTCTTGGCCCGCCCGCCGAGCTTCCGCTTCCGGAAAGGATCCCGCCGAATGCCGCGCTTCATAGTCTCCGACGCGCCTCCACTCCCTTTCTCCTGCTCCAGGCCCAGCGCCTTGGGCGTACGCAATAGACCCCTCCAAGCTTCCCGGCTTGTCACCCACCGGCAGGGGTTGGGAGAAGCCAATAAACGGCGAACGGGGCGGGGCCAAGGCATGGCTGGGGCGGGGCCGGGGCGGAGCCGCCGAGAAAAGAGTTAAGCGGAGGTTCCAGGACTTGCGGTGGGGAAAACGGGGACGAGGACCCGCCAGCGCCAGAGGATGGGACAGGGGTAGGAGGCGAATAGGTTTCAGAAGGAATTGAGCGCGACTTTTTGGGTTTTCGCTCTTTATTTTTAGTTTGGCATCGTGTGCCTTTTGGAAGATTTTGTTCTTGATATTCTATAAAAATAAGACCTCGGGGTTGTTACCTTTGCGTGTGATGGAAATTGCAGAATTATTCCCTGTGGCCACTGATCTCAGAACGGTGTTCATTAGTTGGGATTTTGGGTTTACTTCCATGCGTACTTGTCTCCTCTTATGTTGAGGTAATTACTTTTGATGAAAAATGACACAACATTCTTAGTATTGGCATGTGCACTCATTTTAATGAGGATTTTAGTCATTGGTTTTTAAGGCATTGAGTTTTGGGTTAATGATTTAAATCAAGTTGAAGAGAGATAACTCAGTTTATTCCATTTCAACTGTCACCCAGGCAGGAGTGCAGTGGCGCAATCTCAGCTCACTGCAACCTCTGCCTCCTGGGTTCCAGCGATTCTCCTGCCTCAGCCTCCTGAAGAGCTGGGATTACAGGTGCGTGCCACCACACGCGGCTAATTTTTGTATTTTTAGTAGAGACAGGGTTTCACCCTGTTGGCCAGGCTGGTCTCACACTCCTGACCTCAGGTGATCCGCCCGCCTTGGCCTCCAAAGTGCTGGAATTACAGTGGTGAGCCACCATGCCCGGCCTCATTTCTTTTTAATGGAGAAAAGAGCTACGCTTTAAAAGTCTGTTACAATTAATGTCAAAGCCCAGGAACTAAAATATGTCCACCAAAATATCACACACTTATCCTGAGTGATTTTAGGAAATGAGTATTTCACAGATTTAGTTTTGAATTAGATCAAACTGTGAAAACCTCTCCTTTCCTTCCCCAGCCCTCACATAACTTCATAACTTGCTGACATATTCACCTGAAATTAAGGGGTTTTTTTTAGTTAAGTTGATATTTTTTGAATTCATATTGATTTTTCTTAATACATGTTTATTTTAGAAAATATAGATAAGCAAAAAGGAAAAGACCACCCATAACCCCATTACCCATGAGTTATCACTTTGAACAGCTTGGTGCATTCCCTTCAAGATTTTTTCCACCTACATATATATGTATAAATGTATTACGACAATATGAAATAATAGGTATTACTGTAACATGCGTGTTTTCTCTTAATATCTAATCAACATTGTTTCTCATTAGTCTACAATTATAAAATGGCTGCCTGGTGTTCCATGATTCACTTCCCTAGTGTTGGGAATGTTATGCCCCCACCCCGTTTCATTTTGTTGTTTGCTATTATAAATAATGTTGCAGTGAGCTGAGATCTGCAAATGAACTAGATAGAGAGTGGAGAGCAGAGTATTCTAAAGATGTGGAGACAGCATGATGTTGAGAAAGAGAAACCCAGAGAGTTCCTTGCTGCTGAAGTATAGACAGTGGGGATGGAAATATATGTAGGGCCAGACTATGCAGTCCTCATAGACTACATGATTTGGCTTATTATCCTAAGGCCATTGGGAATACATAAAAGTTCAAGCAGGGGACACAGTGAACTGACTGGGGTTTTACAAAGATCAATGGCTGTAGTGTAGAGCAGGAATCTGAAATCTACAGTCCCTGGCAAAATTCAGTCTGCCATTCTTGGATGTAGCCTGAGAACAGTTTTTACATTTTCAGGTAGTTTTTTTTAAGTCAAAAGAATTATATTGTGTGATGTGAAAAGTTACCTGAAAATCATCTCAGTGTTACAAAGTTTTATTGGAACACAGTCACGCTAATGTGTTTACACATTATCTGTGCTACAACTGCCAAAGTTGAGTATTTGTGATAGAGACCGTCTAGCCGGCCAAGCCTAAGATATTTACTATCTGGGCCTTTACAGAAGAAGTTTGCTGATCACTAGCATAGAGGGTGCTTGGGGGAAAGGCAAGTATGGGTGTGAGCAAGTTCTCTCCTCCTGCATCCATTCTCTGTCCTCCCCTTGGACTGACATCAGTCAGACATGCCCTCCAGCTTCAGGTTCTGTTTAGTCAATAGAAGAGGGAGAGAATGGGATATTCCTGCTCTCTCAGCACCGTTTGGCTGATGCACTGGCCCTCTGCATCATCAGGGGAGCCCCTGGAGCTCCAGTCCTCTCACACTCTAATAAAACATGTCCTTCCCTTTGTCTTTTCAGTCTTAGGGGTGATAATGGTTTGCTAGTCCCTGGGTGCCTCAACTCCCTTGTTGTTTTCCTTGTCCATTATGTAAACCTTTTTCTGTTTGTTTTGTTTTGTTTTTTGAGACAGAGTCTCGCTCTTTCGCCCAGGCCGGACTGCAGTGGTGCTGTGTAGGCTCACTGCAAGCTCCGCCTCCTGGGTTCACGCCATTCTCCTGCCTCAGCCTCCCGAGTAGCTGGGACTACAGGCGCCTGCCACCACGCCCGGCTAATTTTTTGTATTTTTAATAGAGGCGGGGTTTCACCATGTTAGCCAAGATGGTCTCCATCTCCTGACCTCGTGATCCGCCCGCCTCAGCCTCCCAAAGTGCTGGGATTACAGGTGTGAGCCACCGCGCCCGGCCGTAAACCTTTTAATTGTCCTCAAAAATCTAGATTGTCTTCTGTTCCCTGTGAGGACCAGACTGATAGGAAGTCCAGATGAAATATGTTGGTAGCTGGGAGGGGATGAGGGGACCTAAGGGAGGTGGTGGTGAGGGAAGGTGAAGAGGACATATTTGAGAGATGCATAGGAGGTAAAATGGAGAGCACTTGGTGATAAGAGTTGGAAAGTCAGGCAAGGGGAAGGTATTTGTTGACCCTGGTTTCTGGGTTTTGTATCTTGGCAGGTGGTGGGAGAGATCCACATTTAGGAAGGAAGCTTGTGAATTCATTTCTCTCCAACATTTTATTATGAAAAAAATGCAAACCAGGAAAGTCATTTTTGGATTTATTAAATTAGGGAGTACTTTGGAGTCATCCAAGAAAAGATGTCAAGTTAGCTACTGGATAGTTGAGTCTGGAGCGTGGCAAAGACCTGTGGGCTGCAGATACACCTTTCCGAGTTGCCTGTGGCTTCCGAACTTGTTCTCAAATTACTTCCTCAAGAAAGCCTCTCTATCCTGCCCCTGCAAACTAACTGTGTGCCTCATGCTACTATGTAGTAGCATCGTTTCTCACAATTATAAACTTGTGTTTAGTTATGTAATATCTGTCTTCCTAAGTAGAATTTAATCTCTATGAAAGCAGGGACCTCACCTTGTTCAAAGCAGTATCCCCAGTGCCTAGCACAATCCCTTGCACTTGTAGGAATTTCTTAATTATTTGTTGAATAAACCAATGAATCAGCCATTGTTTGGACTGCTTTGGTGCACTGGGGCTGACAGCTACTTGAATGTCCAAGGCTCAGGATTGTCCAGGACTAGCCCTTTGAGCTTGGTCCGGAGGTTTAGTGCCTCTAGTATCATGGATACACAACTCTGCTTGTCTATCCAGTCTTTCATAATTCAGCACATTGGACCAATGACTTTGCCAATTGGCTCACCTCTGAAGTGTGAAAGTCTCTGTTCAGGTTTGACCATGTTCCAGTTTATAGGAAATGACCAAAGTTGAAAGTATATGAAGATCTAAACTAAAAACACAGATTTATGGCCAGGATCTAAGATTCAAAAAGTAAGAGGCTGTGGATAAGAAGTCACATGTTGGGAGCGTGAGCTCAGTTCTGCTTGGAAAGATCTGAGAGACTGTGCTGTTGTCTTTCCTCAAGCCATTTAGTGCTCTCTGGGGCTATTTTGAACCCAAAGGTTCTTGGCCTTTTGAGATAATATACAACTTTGAGAAATTGCTCAAAGCCTTATAATTTTTTCTTCAGAAAAATGCTAATGAGCACATTTTGGAGACATGATTACATATATAATGTTATCAGAGGCACTCAGGAGCCTCTCCAAGGATTTCAGGTTAAGATTCCTATTCTAACCTAATTCAAAACCAGCCTTCCACATTGGGGTGTCCAGCTCCTTCTGTTGCAGGGCCCTGGTGATCCTGGAAGTAGTTGGTTAACTAGGGATGGTAGGTCCCTGATGGAATAGCATCAAGGAGAGGAAGGGCATGGAGCATAGAGAAAATGGAATTGGGCCATAATCTTTGCATTTCCCACTGAAGCTTATATATCTGCAGTCTTCACTTTAATCAAAATAGCTTAATTTAGGAAAGAAAGAGCCCACTGTTTTTGCTTTATAAAATCCTGATTTTATTGCTTCCTGAAAATTTTTTTAAAGGAGAAATACAAACCATATGTTACAAGGGCCTTCATTTGACAGTTTAACTGGGGTCATGCTAGGACTGTATAGATATTGCTGATTATGATAGGAAAGCCAGTGGGATGGGTCTGACAAGGATCTGTTGGCAGCAAGAATCAAGGGACCCCCTTTGGAATGATCCCATCACAAGGAAGAAATGGTTGGGGACAATGTGTCATGTTTGTGGGTCAGTTGTGAATTTTAATACAGCACAATGACAGTCACTTATTGCCCTGCAGACCCTGAAGACTTCTGCGTGATCCAAAGAGAGAAACATTAATAGTGATTAAAATGTTAAAATTTTGTTTTATTAAAATATCTGTAAGGCAGTGTAGCAGATGCAGGTGGCTTCTTATTGTGAACATCTATGACTTCCTGGCTGAGAGCCTTTTTTCTGGAGCAAAAGGAGCAAACTGAGGCAAGCTGGAAAGGCAGGACATTAATTCCCCTGGAAGAAGCCCTCAGTCAGTGACAGGTGGGGATTATCCAGTGATGGATGAAGAGCTTCCTCACCCTTCGATTGGGATAACTCTGAGATGTGTTTTATGCTGTCTCCCAGAGTTCCCCAGCAGTATTGGGGTACAGGGGTAACTGGCTGGATAACACACCATTTATTAGCTTTCTTCCCATCACTATAATATCTTACTCTTCCTATCCCTGTTCCACTTTCCTGGGATCGCCTCCTAAATAAACTATTTGCATGTAAATCTCTGTCTCAGGGATTATTTCAGGCTGGGGGTGGGAGGAATCCCATACCTAGACAGGCACTGAGGATATATACAAGGCATCATAGGTTTGGAGTCAGATCTGGATTCAAATTCTTTCTCACCAGTGACATTGAACAACTTAATTTATCTAAGATTGTTTCTTAGAGATAATGACACTGACCTCATAAGGTCATATTGTAAGGAAAAATTTGAGAATGTATAAAGCACTATACACAGTGGCTTACACATGGTAAGTGCTTAATAAATGTTGGGTATTATCATTAATACAGTATTTATAATATTGTTAATACAGCATAGCCCAGGTAGAGGGCAAAGCACAAAGCTGTTTTCCATCCTTGGGGTGACTGCAGAAGCAGGTTGATTTGGCAGATGTGCTGTAGATACTGTGTCCCTAGTGAGCAGCTGTGGCATAGCAATATCAATAGCTTAGAGCAAGCATTGCCCCAGTGAGCCAGGGCAGGAGAGGAGGAAGGTGGTGCACACCAAGTGGTGGCTCAAAAGATGAGCAATTGGCAGTGAACAATGGTATTGCCAATTGTGCTTAGTCTCAGTAAGCACGGATAGCTACAGCACCAATAACTTCATGTCTGTGTCTAGTATACACCTGGGTTGTTGGAATTTCATTAGCCTCAGTCTTGAGGGATTATGTTCAAGGCTACCAAGACTAAGTGTCTGATTTCAACCTGTTTTCCCAAATGTACAAAGGACTCCTGCTTTTGTTACATTTATGATCCTAATTTATTATTTTAAGGTCTTTCAAATTGGAGCTGTCTCTTCTGTCCCCCTTTATTCCCTATTTGCAGACAAGATCATATTTCAGTTCTTTGGCCACAGTGAAAGAGAAACTGAGAGACACCAAGAATCTGAGGCAGGTTAAAGGATTTCACTCGTTCTCTAATCCTGATTAATTACAGTGTCAGGTTTCACCTGTAGTGCTTCAGCCTTCTCAAACAGCCTTAGGTTCCAGAGCAGATAGAAATGAGGGGGCCACTCACATGTATATATATGCAACAAACCTGCACGTTGTGAACATGTACCCTAGAACTTAAAGTTTAATTAAAAAAAAAAAAGGAAATGAGGGGCCACTTTGGCTAGGAAGGTAGACAGCAGGTAGCATTAGTTGTTGCCCATCCCCTGCAGGTGCAGCCCAGTGCTGTGGGGGAAGAATTTGTTTCAGTCCCTTTTATTGTTTCACTCGGGTCAGAAATTAAGGACCATGGTAACATCCAATCACAATCTCCTCTTACCTTTGGACACTAATAGACAAATTTCTCCTCAATTGATGGAGAGAGATATATATGCATGTAACATAACACTATTTTTGAGCAAAAGCAACTTTTTTTTTTTTTTTGAGACGGAGTCTCACTCTGTCACCCAGGCTGGAGTGCAGTGGCGCGATCTCGGCTCAATGCAAGCTCTGCCTCCCGGGTTCACACCATTCTCCTGCCTCAGCCTCCCGAGTAGCTGGGACTACAGGTGCCCGCCACCACGCCCGGCTAATTTTTTGTAATTTTAGTAGAGACAGGGTTTCACCATGTTAGCCAGGACGGTCTCCATCTCCTGACCTCGTGATCCGCCCACCTTGACCTCCCAAAGTGCTGGGATTACAGGCGTGAGCCACCACGCCTGGCCCAAAAGTGACTTTTAAGAGGGGATAGTATTACAAATAGAAGGGACTGACCCAGTGACCTTGGCACACCTGACATTAAGAACCATAATCACAGCCTGTTAATCTCATCTGTTTCTTTCGAGAAAGGAAAATCTTTAAGACCTTATCAGAAGGTCTTAGGCTCATGTAGGGGATTTTCTCTAGTGGGTTCCATGACATCTGTATATGGTTTCAGAAAAATCCATTGACACACTTTCTGGCATACTGTTAGTTCTTCTCAAGGCCATTTGCATGAAAGTGAATTATGTTCATGTCGTATCTTAATGTTAGACTGTGAGCTCCTTGAAGGCAGAATTCTGATATTATTTATTTGTATGTGCTCAGAAGCCAGCATAGTTCCTGGAATGCTGCCAGGTTTAGCAAAAACCAAAACAAAACATATTTGTTGTTTGTCTGAAATTCAAATTTAACTGGGTGTCCTGTATTTATTTCTTGCAACCCTATTCCTGGCACATAGCTAACCTCAATAAATATTGATGAGTGAGAGGATGAATGAATGACTAGCACAGTACCAACAAATGGAGAAATAAACTGGTAAAAACTTCAATTGACCATATAAAAGACACTCATCTAAATTATGCCTAACAATCACAGAACAACAACACTGTGTCTGGTTAACATACTACCTTTTAAAATCTGACAGTCTGGCTTTGATTGAAGATGCATTTTCTATCCATGCTTTGTCAGCCACTTTTACTCAGTGTCCATGTGGGAAGAATACTAATCTGGTAATGAAGGTGTTTTGTTCCAACAATTTCACATCTTAATTCTGCACATTTCTGATCTCATATGTTTAATTGTTTATTAGTGTGTACCAGTTGTACAAGAAAATTGATTTTGGGTGGTATATGGGTTTCAGTCATTCTGAAGTACAATCATCTCTGTATCTTCCTTTAAAATTGCCAAAATTGTGCTTTTACTCCAGCTGAACCCTGGGGTTTTGGGTAAAGTCATTCACTGTGATTATACCATCAGGGCCAATTCTGTTTGGAAAAAGGTATATCTGCAGTTAGTTCATTGACAGTTAATCTTAAGAAAGACAATATGCAAACAACTCTCATTTCACATTAATTCTGCTGTTGCTCCTTTTTCTCTTTTTTTGTTTTGTTTTGTTTTCTGAGACAGGGTCTGGCTCTGTCATCCAGGCTGGAGTAACTGGTGCAATCTTGGCTCACTGCAACCTCTGCCTCCTGGGCTCAAGCTATTCTCCCAATTAACTGATACAGACACATACCACCACGCCTAGCTAATTTTTGTATTTTTAGTAAAGACAGGGTTTCACCAGATTGCCCAGGCCGGTCTTGAACTCCTGAGCTAAAGCCATCCACCCACCCTAGGGTTACAGGTGTGAGCCGCCATGACCGGCCCTCTTTTTCTTTTAACCTTTGACTGCCTGCTTCTCCTCCTCCTCCTTCTCCACTTCTGTTCCACTGGTCATAGCTAAGCGTGAGTCAGAGTTACTAGGGGGGCTTATAAATACACAGATTCCTGGGCTCTGGCCCTAGAGTTTATGATTCCATAGGTCCAGGGTGTAGCCTGAGATTCTGCATTTCTAACATCTTCTTAGGTGCTGCTGCCGCTACTGCTAGTCTCAGTAGCACTGAAAGAATTGTTTTCCTATATCATTCTTTTCCTTCCTCTTCTCCTTCCCTTTCCCGTTTTCTTTCAGATCATCCATATTTCATGTTTCTCACAATACTTTTCTGTTTCCAGAGCAGTATAATACAATAATCTCACTATCTTGGCCAGCTAGATTTCTTTTCCTGGTATTCTTTCACCTCCACTTGACAAAAGTTAACTTACACTTCCTGTTCCATGTAGTTTAGCATCCTGCTGACATGTGATGCAGAGATCTCCCCATCCACTTTGGCAATATACGTGTAGAGAAACTGGAAGGTGCTGAACGGGATCCGGGGCGACCCACCATTATGGTCACATGATAAGACCTCACACACTATCTTGAGAGTTTTGGTAATAGTCTATAAAAGTTAGATAAAATGAGGAGAAAGTTACTCTTCCAGGCAATATTCCTGAGATCGGTTTAGATACAAGAAAGAAAACAAAAATATTGCTCTTATAAAATGAAGTGGGAACAATTTAAGATTCTAGAAAGCTTGAAATTTTTACATTCAAATGTCACTAATTCATTCTAAAAAATATTAAGTATTGGGTATCTTTATTTCTTTTCTTTCTTTGTTGGAAGACTACTCAAGGAATTAAATTTATACATTCCTAAGTACTTTAAGATATTTGTTACTTTAGCCCGAATAACCTCACTAAAGGAGGGAAGTTGATTTGCATTCTATATAATTAGAATTATTTCTTCTTATTACCCTCCAGTCTTATCTCTAAAGGGCTGAGATAGATGGTCTAGCCTATATAGTCCAGCAGGATACTTGTGGCAATGACACAGTAGAGGAGAAGAAGGTAGGAGAAGGGTAATTTCCCCAGGAAAATGGAGTCCCAGGAAGATACTGGAAAAATGTTCTTAAACATCAAGATAAACGTTCCTCTAAAGCATCTGGGTCCATCTAAATAGAATCAGCTAGTGCTTTATTTCATACTACATAATACTAACCCTTTTATTGCTGGGGAAATATTGGTTGACAATGAGTGCCAGGAATTTTAATAGAAGGGTTACTACAGAAGCAAACCCTCCTTGCAATGAAACTTGAACATTAAAGGAGCATGCTCAGAACTCATCTCATGTCTTTAAATAACCCACCCTTTGAATAAATGTTACAAGCAAAAGAGTTGTGAAATGAAGGTCACCAACAGATCTTGGTGGTTTACTGAAACTGATGATGTACGGATCATCCTGACACTCTTCCAGGGATCAGTGAAAGATCAGTTCTGAGTGGTGACTTAGGGTGAGTGAAAAAGCAGCTGCTGTATCTTCCCACATGATTAGTAGAGGAGACTTGTCCTGCCTTAGCAGTTGATGTCTGCTGTTCTCCTCTCATCCTCTCCCAGAACAGAATGATTGCCTAGATGAGGCTTCTCTAACTGTGGTGTGTGTTACCCAGGAGCGTAAGTCTATGTCAGGAGGTACTGAGGATGTGAATAAACTCTTCCTTGAGTGATAGTTTTACTTGATGGCAAGTAATTTAAACATAATTTGTAATAATTATTAATTTTAATTGAGTTAATATTTCAAATTTGATTCTTTACATTTAATAAGCATTGTTATTTTATAAAACAGAATCTTCAATACATGATGTCAAAAAAAATTGAGTTTGAGGCAGGCCACCTTCCTTTCCTCTCCTCTGCCCCTGGGGGTCCTCTCATGGAAATTGTTGTGAAACACTGCATCTTCTACTCACTTTCACTTAATTCAGAGCAGGTGGGAGGGCAGGCATGGGGCCAACTAGTATATATGAGGCTGTCTGGGAGGATGGTAAATCATGCATGTGAGATGAGGTCAGTGGGAGAATGGTTTGGGGTAGATTTGCAAGCACACTCTGAACATTATAATTTCCACCCACAGCTCACCCTGTTTCTGTAAAAAACAAACAAATGAACAAAAACAACCCTCTGCACCCCTAATGCTTTGTTCTGTTGCCCTCTCCCATGGGGTGCTGGTATGGGCTGAATTGTTCCCCCTAAAGTTCATGCCAAAGCCTTAACCCCAGAACTGGAGAATGTGATTGTATTTGAACATACGACCGTTAAAAAGATAAGTTAAAATGAAGTTAGTAGGGTGTCTTTATAAGAAGAGGAGTTAGGATATAAAGAGAGAGCCACCAGACATGTAGGCACAGAGGAACACAGTTTGAGAAGCTGGCCATTTTTAAGCCAAGGAGAAATGCCTCAGAAGAAAGCAATCCTGCTGACAGCTTGTTCCCAGAACTGTCCTCCAGAACTGAGAGACAACAAATTTCTGTTGTTCAAGCCACCAAGTCATGGCAACAAACTAACATAGCGGCTTTCAACCCTAAACATCATCTTTTATTGATTATTCAAACTACAAACCTTCAAATTCTACTGCCTCATAAGATTTTTAAGTATTTTTAAAGATTTAATAAATGGATGAGTGTATAAATAACTCTTTGGACTGGAGCTATTTGGTAAACTGACATAAACCTAAAGTAAACAGATCTTCATTCTCTTGCACAATATTTTTTTGGGATCCGCTTCACAGACATAATCTTTAAGCATCTTGCGAGCTTCATTTTCAAAGTTAGAGGTGAAAGCCTTGAAATGTAAATCGTTTGCTAACAAATATGTCATTCCTTCCAGTGAACATGATTATTTTCTACATACGTGATCTCTTCCTTTTTTAATAATCAGTTCAGTGGAACAGGAGGTGGCATAGGCCAGTCCAGAGGAAGGAGTGCTGAAGGGAGGAGGAATACAGGTCTGCATGCCATCGCATTCTGAATAATGTGTATTAGACGCAGAGAGCTCAAGATGGAGTAAATGTACCTATTACCTACCAGAGTAAAAATTCCTGTTACTAGATCTTCTACAAGGAACAAACTGGCTTTTCTGAATGGCATAGAGATCTTGTCTTGCTATTGAATTGGCAAAGGAAAGAGAAATTCTGGGCTTGCCTCTAAGGATATATGAATTAACTAGGATGCAAGGTCTCCACCAGATGGTGACCCCTGACTTAGTCTCAGCTATAATAAAATACCTTAGACTGGGTAATTTATAAACAACAGAAATGTATTGCTCACAGTTTTGGAGTCTGGGAAGTCCAAGACCAAGAGGCCAGCAGATTTGCTCTCTGGTGAGGGCCTGTTCCTCATGAATGATGCCTTCTATGTGTCCTCACTTGGTGGAGGGGCAACTTTTATAAGGGCACTAATCCCATTCATGAGGGCTCCACCCTCATGACCCAATCAACTCCCAGAGGCCCTACTTTTAAGGCCATCACCTTGGAAGTTGAGATTTCAATATATGAATTTTGGGAGAACACAAACATTCACACCGTACCACTGGCCAACCCCACATTTAAGATCCCAGAAACAGTCCAGCTCCAGCATGATAGAAATGAATATAAGGGTATTGATTACTGGTTTCATAGGACACCCTTTATTTGCAGATTTAACCTCCAGGCTGACTTTATCTCTAGGGGTTCTTTGACATGGGGATGATGAGGAGCAAAGTCAGATATGTCAAGGCCTCTTAGAATTGGAGGAGCTCACTGTTATTCAGAGGTGGGCCTGAGGGTGTCTCAGAGGAAGCAGAGAAGTGGGGATAGAATCACAGGATGTCAGAGGTAGATGAACCTCATGGAATATTGAATCCCACCTCCTTATTTTAGAAGGGAAGTAGAAAGATTCAATTCACCTCATGGTTTCCCCTCTCCAGTTTGGGAGGCAGGTACATCAGAGGAAACCTAGCATCTACACCGTGGGCTAAGCAGAGGGAGGGTTGGAATCTGACTTTCCAAAGTCACTCTTTGTTACTGTGAGGTATGGGGATAAGGGAAGAACTCAGACACACCACACACTGGTGAGGGTCTGTGAAGTAGACCACCAGAGCCAGGGAGCAGATAGGACAGCCTGGCAGAGAATCAAGGAGGCCCTCGACACCATTGAGAACTGAAATGAGCCAGTTGGGGAGGCATCATCAGCCTTTCACCAGTCCGGGAGAGACGAGACCAAAAACTTAAGCTGCAAGCAGCTAGCGACCAGACAGACAGGCATTACCATGGAGACCAGAGATGCCAGGGAAGACTAAGGGATGTGAGAAACCCTTCACTTGACTGCTCTGTGGTCCTAGAGTCAGCTCTTTCTGCCTACATTCAACTGCCATCTTGGAGAAGAGAGCGTGGTGAGGAAAAACCTGAGATACTGGGAAATTTACCTTTAGGCTGTTTCAGTTACTGCATCAGACTAAAATTTCAGGATTGGATTGAATTTATTTATTTTCTTATTTGACCCTTTGTGGGTGGGGTAGACCAAGAAGATCCAAATTAACTACAGATAAAATTTTAAAGGTATATTTTCCCCCAAAAACGTCTCCAAATGTGGTGTGAAAAAAATCTGTAACCCTATGAGAATTTAATAAAATATGTTCATTTTTTATCTTCCTGTTTGTGATTTTCCCCAGTCCTGACTGACAACTCATAGGCCTCTGCTGCTTACTTTCCTTTCCTCCTCAGAGGATAGTGATTTATTCAGTAATAAATGCTATAAAGGACAATGAAGAAAGTGCCACAAATGTCCTCTTGTTTACTTCTCTCTAAAGAAATGATTATGATGAAGGCTGTAGGGGAATCTATAGGAAATTTGGACTACAATATTTCCACTAAATTTTCTCAGAAACAAACCTGTCAAATATGTATTCCAAGCATATTTGAGAAGAACAAGATTATGTTTAGATATGCTGAATGATTCAGACTACCTTTTCATACCATTTGGTTTTGGCAGAGGCAATTATTTTCTCAATAATTTTCAAACTTGTATGTATCTCAGGGATTCTTTTAAAAAAACACGTTTTTGATTCATTTTAAGTTATTTTAACAATGTTTAGCAATGTAAGTCCACATATAAGATACCCAAGCTTTAAATATCTATACATATAAGCTGATTTCAGCATCTTTGGCTTCAAAACAGTAAAATTGCATTTCCAATATCAAACAAGTCAAATTTGGAAAAGGCATAAATCTGTATGAACATCCTGCATCCATGGAGATGTCATGACTAAATTCAGAAATAGCCTCATCTCTCTTTTTTTTTGCTTTCTTATGTCTGAGTTCTGCATCCAATTCTGTTTATTACATAGTTTTCGATAAGATTGTACCCCTTTTAAACAGTGTCTATTGATATATATTCTAGGTGTCTGGAAGTCTTTTTCTACAGTCGGCTCTTGGTTGTCTCTGGGAATATGAATGGAAGGAGCGGAGTGAAAATAAATCTGAGGGCAATATTCATAAATAATCCAAGAGCTACACTGTAGTCAACTCTCCCCAGAGCCTGACCACAGTGTTTCCCTCTCTCCTCCTCCCAACCCCTGCCACTGCCTGACGAGCACAGAAATGACCTTGCTTTAGAGAGGAGAAGGACAAGAGGAGAAGAGGCATGTTTATCATCAGCCCTGCAGAGTTGACCGCGTGTATAGATGCACTGCCCTTCCAGGCCCAGAGGGAGATTTCCCCTTCAGGAACAAAAAACAGTCAAGCTAACTTACAACTCCCAGAGCGCTGCAAGCAAGGGCTAAAAACTTCAGCCACTCGATCTCCTCCGTGAAGCGACCCACATTCATCACACTATTAAACAGATCTGTTGGGAGATTCACCACTTTCCACATCTGGGCCAGCTCCTCTGCACGGATGATCAGTCTGCCAGCAACCTGCAGGGCAGGGGACAGACACAACACAGAGGTTGTGGGAGAAGTTGAGACAAGGCCCTGAGAAACACCCTGTCCCCAGGCCAGGTCCACATCTCCCAGCACATGGCAAGGGGCGGGAGGGGGTGTTAGGAAGGTAAAGATGGCTCTGTGTGGCAGTTATCTTTGCAAATCCTAGTGAAGAGCATGCTGAAATATAATTTATTAATTCTCAAACTTTAGGTGTCAGAATTATGCAAAAGATATACATTTATATTACATTTTAATTTCTGGTGATGCTTTTATCTGCTATTGTATTCCTAAATTGTTTTATTCCTTATATGACAGATAGAAGAGCCTGAAAACAAAACCAAGGGGTAGAGGGCTTACCTGAGACCACTAATGAATGGTAAAATTAGAACAAGACATAGGTCTGTTTCTTCCCGATTGCACTGAGTTCTTAGCTCTAGACCTCAAGTGCATCCCTCATGCTTTCCCAGGAATGATATGGGGTATGTGGCTGACCTGTGGGGATTTGGTCTGGATGCCTAATGTTGCTTGATCCCAGGTATTTTAGAGCTCTGTCATGTTCACTGCACAAGGTACTTGGTGGATAAAAGGAGGGAAGGTGACTGGTTGTTGGCCACCAATGCAACAAGAGCACAGATGCCCGATGAAGTGCTCCAACACCTTTCCTGACTGTCTGATTCTAGTGAAATGCTAAGCCTCTGGGACCAAGGTGGTTAGCCAAGCCAGTCCTAAATCACCCCAAACCGCTCTGTCCTGGACCATAAAGCAGGGTTTGGTGGTGCTCAACCATATGTCCTGGGAATTTGCCAAACCACAAACTTTCTCAAGCTGCACCTTCCTCATGCATTCATTCACCAGGCAGCTCCCAGGATGATGTGGCTATGAAGAGGCTCACAGCCTCTCCCTAAAAGCTAAAAGCAATGTCTGGACCTTGGATAGCTGGGGAGCTAAAATATGCCCTTCCCCAAACTGTGATTTTCATCATATTACAGTCTTGATCAGTAAGGAGACACTGTCCAGTGACTGAGGACTTGCACTTTTCTGGAGAGACGAGATTAGCATTGCATTGAGCCCCTGTACATTCTGCCAGCTTCAAGGAAATCTGGGATGACCCCACCAATGACTCAGCCTACAGCCTATTTCAAAATTATTCCCATTTGCCAAGGAAAGATTTACTTTCAGTCCACGGTTTAGTGTATTTTAGGGTGGTGCTAAGTGGTCAGCTGACTGTCAGGAGAACAGAGGGCTTTTTGTCTGTACCCACCCAGCCTCAACACTGTCCCTACATTCTCCTCAATGCTGCAGCAGGGCCCTTACCTGAGAATGCAGGATCTTTAACAGCTCAGGTGTTAGCTCTGCCCGGTTACACAAAGCGACTCGCTCAGACCGCTCTCTCACCGGAGGCGTCTCTCCACGGGACAGGGCCTCAAAATAACTACAAGAAAAAAAGTCAGAGAGTAGGAGGATCCTATACACCAGTGGCCTCTGGCTGTTCTAGCAATCCTTCCACCTTCTTCTGAGGGAAGGAGGTAGAGAAAGGAACCTTTGTTAAGTGGCTTCTATGTGTCATTGTGTTTAGTTCACTTACATATGGGAAAAGTCTGAATGTGTTACTCTCCACTTAGGGCATAGAGAATGCTTAGAGAATACAAAGCTTTGTTCTTCTCTAAGGATGAGGAAGAACCAAGAAAAGTTTGGGTATGCAATTCCCTGGAGCATATTGGGTTCAGGTTTCTTTTTCAGTCATCTCTGAGTGTTTTATACACGCAGATGTATATTACATATGTATATATAATATTGGGAAGAGAAGTTGGAAGAGAACTAAAAAGTAATGTACGTAAGAAAGGGGAAGGCAGCACAGGAATGGTGGCTAGGGCCTGTAATCTGGTGACTCCAGGCTGGAGGACCACTTAAGCCCAGGAGTTTGAGGCTGCAGTGAACTATAATTGTGCCACTACACTCCAGACTGGGTGACAGAGTGAGACCCCCATCTCTGAAGAAACAAAAAAGGAGGGAAGGGGAAGAGATGGAAGTGTCCTGGGGTGAATCAGGAAGGGTTTCTGGCTGGAGGTAGTGAGGCTTGGGGCTTCAAGAGGGAAGGGAGAGAGCATTGGCAGGGCAGCCTGCAAGGCTCAGGAGAGAAGAGAAGCCGAAGAAGGTTTGAGACAATCTTAAGCTATATGGTGCCTCTGAAATGAAACTGTTTCTCCATCTTCCCTCAAAATTTTCAGTGAAATCTGCCTGCTCCTCAATGTTTTGTGGAGTGGACTTCGTTTGGGGGCATTGTGGAACAAGTACTGAGTTCTGTTTCAGGACTGGCATAAGATGAAAAGAGGCTGCCTGCAGCAGGGAATGGACATGAGCCGCTGACATGTGGGTCACCAATGCAGCATGGCAGGGTCTGTCTCCATCAAAAGCCTGGTTATTGACGATCCATGAACCACAAATTTCTGTCCCGCCCTGCTTTTTTCCCTCCATTACTTCCTCCAGATCCAGGTAGTATGAAAATAATATAGAGGGAATTTTGTAAAAGTCCATTTCAGGGTCAAGCCATACAATGATGGGCTAACCATTGCCTGTCTCTGAGCCACGTAGCAAGGCAGAGCGAAAGCTACATGGACTAAAGCAGTAATTGCCAGTCACCCCTTGGAGGTCATCAGCAGGAAGGGCACCTTTAACAATGTGCATGAGAAATCTCTGCACACAGATCAGTGTTGGGGTGGGCGGGGTGTGGGTGCAATATGACAATAGGAGCAGGGTGTGGCCTCAGGCTTTATAAACCAGACTTGGGTGGTATAAATGGGAGGGACAGAGACACACAGCACCTCATTCCACAGAAGTGCTGCCCAGGTAGAGTAACACTCATCACCAACATCTCTGGACTTCTTGTGGAATTGGTTAGACAACATGGAAGCAAAGCTGTAATCATGGATTTCGTTCTTTGGGTTATTGAGCTTCATTTGCAAGTGATCAGGTCCATGGTTATACACATATATTGCAAATTTGTGTTGTAACACATGCCTACCAGAGGACAAATAAGTATATGTCCTGCCGATGCCTGGTAAGAGGTTTCTTCATTGACAACACATATGTAGGGAAATTCTTACTTGCAATGGATTAAAAACGTATTTTGTCTTGGAAACACTTTGCAGAGTTTTATTCTCTAAAATGCTACAGGTTTTAAGTAAGTCACATACAACCATCTGAGCAGTGCTTTTCATGTCTGGATAGAATGGAGGGGGCTCTTAGGTCATGCCCTCCTTTTTCATTGTGGTTAAACTACAAACTAAGTTTTCATGGATGTCTAAAAAAATTATAGCACGTGATACAATACGAGAGCAAGCAGTCTACAATAGTGGAATGCCTCTTCCATAAATGTCAGGGACAATACTAAGCAATGTCAGTTTGCTTACTATAAAACGGCAGCACAAGAACAATCAAATGGGTTTGAAACTAACGTATAAGATAAAGTCTGTCTATCTGACTATGCCAAAATAAATTAGTCTTCTGAAGCTAAAGTTCAATCTTAGAGGCAATATATAAAATTTAAAATGGAGAACTAAACAGGGCTCATTACTAGGCAAAGCAACCCCCATTTATGTTTCTTTTTATGAGCACCACTGGCTTATTTTCCTTCCAATTGTAAAAGCTACATCCTAATCCAGTCCAGGAGCACAGCACTGGCCCAGAGACTCCGAAAGGCCCCTCTTAGATGCCATTTTGTGTCTTCTCAAAGGTGTCCACACTCTCCCCACCATCTGCCCAGGACACCCACTCACAACCTCAGCCTGAGGACATCTTCCCTTCCCCAACTCACTGGCTTTCTCTCAACGGCCTCTCTCACTCTCACTTTCCCACTGAAACCCTCCTAAGCAGGGAATCATCAAACAGTAAAAATAGCCTGAAAATGGTCCGTGAGGTCTAGTTATCTTCCAACTCCTGTCTCAAGTCCTGGTTCCCCAGTTTCAAGCAGGCAAGTTTGTCCAAGGAGCAATTTCATAGCTGAGAGGCTTTCTGTGCAAAGCTACTTCAATCCAGGCCCGCAGCGATTGTTGTGTAAGCTCCATCTACTGAGCAGCCTCTGGAGGTCTCTCCTGAAAGAAGGCACCCGTGTTTGAGGCACACTGTTTTCAGCCATGCCTGAGGACCCCATCACTCTGCTTGGCCTTTCCCCAGAATGCAGTGTGTACTGTGCGGACATCTTTATGTTGGCAGAACAAAATCAGTTCAGAGAAACACTAAAGAAAATAACAATAATTTCCTCCAAGACAAGATATAAAGGGTCTTTGGTTGGGTCCAAGTATGAGTTTTAACAGCAGGGGAGGAAGTGTCTCCTTAAAGGAGTGAACTAGCAGGACTGGTCCCACCCCATCCACCCAGGGCTGTCGCTTCCCTCCCCCGGCTGCACTGCTGCCATCTAGTGGTGAGACAGGAGAACGAAGAAAGGCAGATTAAGCTTCGGAGATTCCCAGCCCTTCTTTCCACCGGGAGTGGGAAAAGGCGTGCAGGGAGGAGGTGGGTGTGCATACGCTGGTGTGACGCGGTCATCTAACTTGCTGCTTGCCCCAGGACACGGCCTATTGACCTGGCGTCCTACTGCTCAATCTGGCTCCCTTAGGGGAGGCATCCCATCCTTGCCCAGCTAGATGTAGCATTTATGTGTGGATTTTAAAGCATCAAAGCAATGCAAGAGCTAAAACAAAGACGATGCCAGTTAGTCCGGACTTCCTAGCTGCAGCCATGACAACCTCCGCGGTTTTACAGGACCCTCTGTCTCCGGCCGTCCTCCAAGGGGTGAAGGCGAGAAAGGAGCACGTACTCGGCTGCCCACTGGATGAGGTCCTGCGGCTGCACCCTAATGGCGGCTTTGGCAAACTCCTTCAGCATCTTCGGCAGCTCCGGCGGGATGCATGTTGGCTTATCTGTCTGAGCCATTGATTGGTTGGCCTATTCTCAGGAGAAAAAAATACGTTAAGATGAAAACTTCGATTCATACGATGAGAGCAATCCTGGACAGGAGGTCACCCAGCCTCTGTTTGACACTCAATTTTGGGGACTCTGCAAGACAAATGCATTCTATTATTACACAACGCCAAGGTTAGAAAACCATCTGCTAACCCCTACTTTTTGTTGGAAATAGTTATGTCCTTTACATAAAAATTACACAGCCCTTGTTCATTTAAAAAGTGGAGGTCAGCAAAAAATTCCCTAATGATATCGCCCCAAAATAATGATATCACCCCCCAAAATCCAGAATTTTTCAGTATATATATGTTTGTAAAATAAAAAAATAAGATTATACAAAACAGCTTATTTACTCAAAAGTATATCATGAACATCTTTCCATGTCGTCCAGCACTTATTAGTTGGGTAAGAATTGTAGCAAAATTTACTCTGAACCCTCTGTGAATTGACATTAGGCCATTTCCACATAAAAATAGTCATTAAACAGCCATTTGGTGAGCGTCTCTCTTTACAGCTGCATGTTCTTTTCCACTCTAATTGTCAGGTGGAAAATTCGTACATTTTCTCTCAAAAAGTTCCAGGACAAATTGAAACAAAATATGAAAATCCATAAAGTGTATACAATTCCCTCCACAAATAAACAACAGATCAAAAGATTTTTTTCTGCTTTTAGTAGAGAAAGGGACAGACTAGATATGCTAAAAAGCTGTCCCTCTTCAAAACACCTAGAGGCCAGACAAATCTCAGTACAAGCCTTTCACATTGCCTTGCTGGGCTTGCAGTGAAGTGAGAGAAATCTTCCAGTGGCCAATGAGGTGAGTAAAGGGGAACCCGCAGTGCTGGGCAAATGAAGAAACTAGGGCTCACCTGGGCACATGTAGATGGCAGGAACTTGCAGCTTTGAGATAAATTGCTAGGCAGGGTGGATAGAGACCAAGGATTAGGCTCACAAAAGGCAAATGTCTGGACTAAAGGACTCCCCTTCTGACCTAAACTTGAGACCCGCCCAGGGACTACACCCTCAGCGTGAAAAGGTGTGGCTGAAAATATCCGCCTACAGGCAGGGGTAAGCAACAAAGAAACCTGTCTCCATTGCTGCTTCTAGTCAGGAGAGAAACAGTCCCCCAGGAGTTGGTAGCCACAGACTAGTTCTAAGTTTTCAATTTATGCCAACACCAGCATGGCTGGGAAATCCCAAGACAAGAAACTAAAGTGGTCTTAGGTTGGTGGGACTTCATGACCTTTTACTTTATTTATGTTCTTTTATTTGGAGGAAAAAGAGGATAAAATAATGATTAATTTTAGACTTTGCAAAGTGTTAGAAAAGTTATAACAGTAATGTAACCACTAAATCTGTAGAGAGGAAAAAAGGAATTTTTTAAAAACACAAACAAGCAAACAAACAAAACCCTTCATCAGTCAAAAAGAAGGCAAGAAAGGAGGGGTAAAAACAGGAAAAGTAGACAAATAACATGGTAGAAAATAATGCATACATATCAGTAATCACAATAAAAATAAATGGGCTTAAATGTGCCAGTTAAAATACAGGTATAGGTACACCTGAAAAAATGAAGACACAGAAAGACTCAAGGTGAAAAGAGTATAAATAAGCAAAGAATAACCAATAAAAGTTAAGGTAGACATACTCATGCCAGACAAAAGATACTTTAAGGCAAAATGCACTATTAGGAAAAAAGAGTGACGAAAGCTTCAATTGTTTTTGATAAAATGATAAAAAGCTTCAATTGTTAAGACAATAACAACAATTCTCAATGAGTATGCCACAGACATCACCATGGAGGAGTCTCACCATGCTAGGTGGAAAAGCAATATATTGTTTCTGGTGACATATATATGTTATAATATTATAATAAAGAGTAAGGAATGATAAATACAAATTCAGAATGGTGGTTACCCCTGGTGGAGGAGGGAGAGGATGGAGAGGGATGTTATTAGGGAAATACAACAAGGGTCTCAGTACTATTAGTAATGCTCTATGTTTTAAGCTGGATGGTTGCTGTCTAGATGCTTGTTTCATTATTTTTATACTTCTACTTACATCATGTATTTAATTTTGTCAGTATGAAATATTTCATCATTTAAAAAGTTACTCTTATAAGTTGTTTCTGATGACTTTTCAACCCATTTTATCTATCAAAGAGCAGTGCCTTATTTGCTCATGTTGTCTGCACATATATATATTCTTTTACTGTGTTAAAAATACATACAATTTACCATTTTAAATGTACAGTTCAGTGTCATTAAGTACATTCACATTGTTGTGCCACAATCACCACCAGCCATCTCCAGAACTTTTTCATCTTCACTAGCTGAAACTCTGTACCCATTAAGTACTAACTCCCTATTCTCCTTCCCCACAGCTCCTGGCAACCACCATTCTTCTATCTTCATGAATTTGACTATCATATAAAATCATATGGCATATAATATTTGTCCCTTTGTGTGTGGTTTATTTCGCTTAGCACAATGTCTTCAGGTTCATTCATGTGGTAGCATGTGTCAGAATTTCCTTTTTTTTGGATCCATAGTCAGATGTGTTACCCATTGCACCACTGGCCCCAAGCTGAGAATTTCCTTGTTCTTAAGGCTGAATACTATTTTGCTAGATGTACCACAATTTTATCCATTCATAGGTCAATGGACAGTCGGATCATTTCCACATTTTAGCTATTGTGAATAATGCTGCTATGAACATAGGTATACAAATATGTGTTCAAGTCCTTGCTTTAAATTGTGTTGGGTATATATACCCAGAAGTGGAATGGATGGATCATATGGTAATTGTATTTTAATTTTTTGAGGAACTGCCACACTGTTTTCCACAGCGGCTGCACCATTTTCTGTGTCCATGTATTTTGACAGGATCTTTTGGTTGTGCAATTGTTTAATTTCTCTCCTGGAGTCTCAGATAATCTCGTGTAAACGAAAAGATGCCCCAATCCTAATTAAGGAAGCTTCCATGACAACAGTAACAATGTTAACCCTTAGTCAGTATAGAGCAAACTTAAGTAAAGCCTTTACTTCATCCCATTGCTGTTTCTAACAATTGGTCTGCAAGCTCTTTTCATTTTGGGGCAAGGAATCTCTTGTAAGTTTTCCATACCCATTGTCTTTCTCAGGGGTTGGTCCTTCTTTAACCTCTTGCAGTTTTTTTTTCTCTTCTCATCATTCTATTTTTCCCTTAAAAGTTATCAATTATATCTATTAATTTATTGTAAGTGCCAGGTGCACTCATAACAGGACCAGTACTGTGCTAAGTACAGGACCATACATTTTTCTCAAGTAATCCTCAAAATATCCCTATGGGGTAGAATATATTAGCATTATTTCACAGATAATGAAACTAGAAAAGATAACAGAACTTTTGCAATGACATATAATAAGTGACAGAGGCAGGATTTGAATACACATAGTCTGACATGGGAGGTGGCCTGCTAGACATGACAATTCTTTCCTTCTTGAGACTTTCTCTTCCTTTGATAGCATACGCCATTCTTGTGTGTCTATTTTCCTCAGCATTGCTCCTTTGCCTCCTTCCATAATTCCTCTTCCTCCTTCCTTGCTCTGAGGAAGAGTTAGCAATCTTCCCCCAACTCAGGTCTTCAGCATTCTTTCTGTTGCTCTTCTTGGAGAGCTCGCAGCCTCTTCACGGCTTTATCTACGACAAAACTGTGTGGATTGCACTTGTTTTCCCATCTTTGACCTCTCGCCTTGTGCTTCTATTTCATACTTCCCATTGCCTCCAGGACACTTCACTAGAATCCATTGTCCATCTCCCAACTAAATCTCTCTCCCAGGTTCTTCTCTGAACATGATACCACTAATCTCTCAGTCCTTTGGCCTCAAAGTCTGAGAGTCATCCATTTTCTTCAGTCTGCTGAATCTCACTAAATCCCACTATTTCCTTTGAAATGTGTCTTCAATTAATCCCTTTCTATTTCTACTCCTGTGTCTCTGGCTCAGCCCCTTATCACCTATTGTGCAGCCTCCTGACTAGTCTCCCTGTCTCAGGTCATTCTCTGGCCTGTCCTGTTCAGTGTGTCCAGATCTATCTTCCAAGTTGCTTTTTATAGTCAGAGAGCACTGCTCACAAAATGACAATCATATCCTGACTTTCAAGGTTTTCTATGATTTGTACCTATAATTCTAAACTAAAAATTTTCCGCTACTCTTTACCAACACAAATTTCCTATACAGTCTGCTCTGGCCACTTTCCAAAAAAAAAAATTATATATCCAAAGCTTAACACTGTCTCGCCCACTGTTAACAGTAATCTATCCTTCTTTTCTCTCTTCCCCTCAGTATTTTGCTAATTCTAGCCGGCTTACTTGAAGTGCCCTTCTTCTTTCATCTGCTTAAACCCTATACTTCCCCAGGGTTTTTCATACTGTGCCATAGGCCTTCCTAGAAAACTTGGATATCATCAAATATTGTTTGTAGTATGCATATTACCACTCAATCCTCTTCTGCCTTTCATTGCTCTCTAAAGCTGAGCTCCCCACTAGAGGCCATGGCAGAATGGGCTACAGGTGTGCCATGAAAGATTGATGGTTGTAAACTTTTTATAGTAATACAAAATGTACAACCACTTACAAACTTACAACAGTTGAAATTATATTTGGATACTGTTTGGCACAGTCAGTAAACTTCCAGATTTCATTACCTATTGTTTCTGTGCCGAAGGTTTTATGTATAACACCTGCTGCCAGAGACGCCTTTATAGGGCTTTTCCTTTCAACCATCTTGTTAAAACAATCCCTGTACGTTGGATTATTACTTTAATTGCAATGCATTTATTATCAGTGACAATGATAATCTTTATGCATATGTGTTGCAAATACTTAGCTCTACTTTTGATTTAATTTTCTCTTATTTTTCACATTATTTTCTCCTAACAAAGAAGTTATATGATTTTTCTTCATCATCACCATCACCATCATCATCATCATTTGTCCCTAAGAAAACAGTAGATTTTGTTCACTTTTTTTCCCATTGTGACTTGATTTGTTTGTGACTTATTTATTCTTGGCTTTTGATGTTAAACAAATATCCAAAATCTGATACTTAATGGACTTTTGTAATGACTTGTTTGTTTACAAAAATAATAAACATTTGCCTCTAAAAAAATAATAGAAAATAATTTAATGATTTAGTAAAGGAGACTCTAGGCCTTCAGTAAAGTCTTATAAAAATATTTTTTGGCTGGGTGCAGTGGTTCACGCCAGTAAACCCAACACTTTGGGAGGCTGAGGTGGGCGGATCACTTGAGCTCAGTTCAAGACCAGCCTGGGCAACATGGTGAAACCCTGTCTGTACTAAAAATACAAAAATTAGCCGGGCATGGTGGCACATGCCTATAGTCCCAGCTACTCAGGAGGCTGAGTTGGGAGGATGAGGTTGCAATGAGCCAAGATCACACCGCTGTACTCTAGCCTGGGTGACAGAGCAAGACCTTGTCTCAAAAAAAAAAAAAAAAAAAAAAAAAATCAAAATATTTAAATTATACTTGAAATAAATGATATTTATATTTTGTGAAAATCTAGAATTGTAATTACTAAATTAAATAATGTTTCCAAAATTCCCCCTTTACTTACCAAATGCTTAAGTTTTCAAAAATTTCATGTGATTTATTTAAAAATATTCTTAAGGACAGCCATATTTTCTTTGAAAACTGATTTGTTGTAGTCAAAAAGGCCTATAGTCTCCTTAAGTACTTTATATATATTATTTACTTTCCATCATAAAAGGTAATTTAAAATTAAATATTAATAATTTTTATTAATATTATTACAAAAATGGTTTCCAAAGTCCTCAGGGACATACAAAAGTTCCTGAAATGACCACACAGTGGCAGAGGCAAGGCAGCTATTGTGGGGAGCAGGGGTCCCTGATGGAGACTGTGTGTGCTGTTGCACTGGAGGTGGTGTTGAATGGGGGTGGGGTGCTGGCCGGTGCAAGTCCAGGTGACTTCTCTGTGTCCTGCAAGCAGGGGTGGTTGCTTAGGGTGGAGGAGGATCTGCTGTTCTCTGCACAGTGTTAGCACGAGGGAAGGTGTTGGCAGGGGTGGTGCTTGCTGGTTCTGTACCCTCCAAGGCTCTGTCTGCAGTGGCAGTCAGTGGGGGTCAGCAGGGGTGGACTACACTCTTGTGTGCTGGCGGGGCAAGTAAAACAAAACCTGCCTGTGCAGACATGGGCCAGCAAAGTGATGTGGGTAGTTGTTGTGGGCTCAGGGAAGCTGTAGTATGGGGAGGGAAAGTACTGGCTGCAGCATGCAGCCATAGGGGCCACCTTGCTGGAGCTCTCCACTGATCAGGCATGGTCCACCAGTGCAGAAGCTATGGTGTGGACCCCCAAGGCACCTGAGACTGCCCTGTAAGCAGGCATGGCCAGGCTTGTGCCTGGAAGAGGCCAGCAGACCAAGGGGTGCTCAGATCAGACCAGCCCCATCTGATGAACAAGACCGCCCTGCAGAGATCAGGTCCAACAGTTCCCCTACAGCTAAAGTCTCTTATTGGAGCAAGTTGAGCCTAGTGGAATGGCCATCCCTGGCCATGCTGTACTACAAACACTCCCACACCAAACTCTCTGGGGTCCACATCAGCTGGCTTGCTGCCCTACTTCTCTAAGCAGCTCTCCCTGCCACCTCAAGTTTCTGTGGTGACTGAGGGGTCCCCTCCTTCCAGGGTTCCAGTGGACCCTGGTGAGAGCAGGTTGCTCCTTGCTAGTTCAACTCACTCGTTCCCCCAGAGCTGTTGTGGTTCAAAAATGAGCTTCAGTGTATGGTAGCCTGTATGGGGTTCCCAGCTTTCTCCCCCTTCAGCCAAGCTTCTGTGCCTTCCCTCTGTCCACTGTCTGTGCCTTCCCTCTGAAGACATGTTAAAAGCACTCCAGTCATCTCAGTTCCTCTGTGGGAGCTGTTCCACTTGTCTGCGTCTAGTTGGCCATCTTGCCCTCCAATAAAATTTCTTAACCACTCATGTTTTTACATAACTCTGAAAAACGTTTAATGGATCTTCATCTCTTTTCTTATAAAAATTATGCCCTGTCTGACTTTCAAGATCTCCCCAATTTGCCTTATTCGTATTAACTTTCCTTCTTCAACTGTGTTTCACAGAAGCCTGGATCTTTTTCTATCCTGAGACAAACCCATGGCCAAGTCAACACAGCATTTGGATGCCAACAGCAATATTGCTAAGAGCAGTCCTACTTGACCTTGTCCTTTTTTTGAGTAGTAGTTTTTGGCTTTATTAGCAAATTTCCCAAACTTGCTTATATATCATGCTAGTATTACCTCTTGAAAGCATGAGTTCTACATGTTTATTATTTAACAAATGAATAGGTACCTCTTTTGGTTTATCTAAGCCATGCTCATATTTCAAAGATTTCCCTCGTGTTCATTCGCATCATCATCCACAATTCTAGGGACACATGGCTCATTTACAGACTGGCATGTAAACTATGTCCTGTAAAGTTGTGCAACATGGTTCCCTGATTTGGGGACCTGGTGTACACACTTGGGTCACCTTAGCCCTGTCTTATATAAGAGTATGAAAGTCTTTATTAAGAGTAAGTGTCATAATACCCCACACCATTTTCATCTTTTACTTGTCCTTCCTACATTTTTTTTTTTTTAGATGGAGTCTTGCTCTGTCACCCAGGCTGGAATGCAGTGGCATGAGCTTGGCTCACTGCAACTTCCACCTCTTGGGTTCAAGCAATTCTCCTGCCTCAACCTCCTGAATAGCTGGGACTACAGGTGTGTGCTGCCATACCTGGCTAATTTTTGTATTTTTAGTAGAGACGGGTTTTCACCATGTTGGTCAGGCTGACAATCAGGTCAGAAGGACAATCAGAAGTTGTCCTTCCTACTTCTGATTTCATTATAGCATTCCTGTGAGTCAGAGATTTAAAACCTACAAGCAAGGGCTCTGAGGGGGTGAATGCACTATAGTTTCCAATATAAGATTAGGGCTATGTTTCTCTTCAGTTTCCATTACCATTCCTGATGATATTCAGCATTGCACTGGCCTTTTCCAAAGCAAAACATAGGGCTGCTATCCTTCGTAGCTAGTTGTGGCATAACATCTAGAGGGCAGATGAAGCTGTAGTGAAGAAGCACTCTTGACTGTGAGGCAGGAGTCCAGGATTTTGGCCCTGGGTCTATTTATGACTAATTATGTGATCCTTAGGAAATCATTAATCTGACAAAATTTATGTGTTTTATTGGAATTGTGCTGAATACTGGGATACATGAATAAATAAGTCACACACTCTGCTTCATGGAGCTCACAGTCCAGTGGAAGAGAGTGACAGGAAAATCAGTGACTCAAAGAAGGTATAATAAGTGTCAAGAAGCCTGCACTAGATATAGAAGAACAGAAGAAAAACAGAAGAAAAACTCTTGGATGAGGCATCTAACATCTGCAGGTATTAGAAGGAGGTCAGAAAATACTTTTCAAAGAGTGGTGATATCTGAGATATCTGAACTGAGACTTGGAAAAACCTGGTTTGTTCATTGCTGTACTGCAAGCCCTCAGAAGACAGCCGGGTACAGGGCAGGTATTCAGTAAGCATATGTGTACTTATGAGAGTAAGGAGAGAATTTCATGTAGGTAGAAGGACTTAGGCAAAGATGTGGGGTTGTCAGAAACGTGACAAGTTCAGGGAACTGTAATTATGGAGCTCTAAAGTGGACAAAGCAGGAGTGGTTGGGCCTAAGGCTGGAAATATAGCTCAAGGCTTGGGCTTTTGAACTTTTTGTTGAAGGCAATGGGGAACCACTAGAAAATTTAAGCACAAGAGTCACACAATCAGTGTTAGCTTTAGGTCCGGTTATCAATATTTGCCTCTCAGCTCCAAATTCACCTTGTATTGCCTCCTCCACAAAAATTGAACTAGGTCCTTTAACATTTTTTCCCTTGTCAGCTGTCATAAGGATATGCTTTGTTAGGACAGGGCACTGGAAGGACTGGAGGAGGAAGAGGTTTCTCTTAGGAATTTAGGTATGCTCTTCTTGCTAGGCTCCAGGAACTTGTAGTTTCTCCTATGCTGGGATCCTGTAGCACACAGCTTTTCTAGCATCTGTTTCATGCAGTGTGTGATCTTTTGAGTGCCCAACTGCTGGAGTACACAGTGGCTATCAGTGCTCCATGGCTAGCAGTGTCCCCTGGCACCTCTCTTGGGAAGCTCTATAGCAGAGTGCTGTCAGTGAGTTACCTTTTAGTGAATGGCTTCTCTGGTGTTTCAGAGAGTAAATTTTGCCTGCCTGGCACCTCAGCAATTTCTCTGCTCTCCAGTCAGCTGTGGCCATCCCCTATGCACCAAGCTCTGGGAAAGGTTTCTTCCTTGGGTGATCTATCTCAGGGGTAGTGGTTGCCCCTTATATCTGTGATTCCTGTATATTTTAGATCTCTCCTGACATATTAGCCAATCCTTCATTACTCCAATCCCATCATTAACAATTCTTTATATTGAACTTCTCTTGTTAAATTATATGCTCAAAAAATTACTATATGATTTATTTCTCTTTGTTGGACTCTGAAACACGTTGACTGACAGCTGTGTGGATGAGCTGAAGAGAGGATGGTGAAGCTTCAGGCAGGGAGCCAGGTTAGGAGAATATGGCAGCACTTTTGACAACTCCCAGGAGCTTCACTGCCTTGAAAAGTAGTTGCAATAGGGAGTGATATAAGAGACAAGTATTTAGGAGATAGGATCTACAGGATTTGGTAACTACTGAAGGAGGAGGAGGAGGAAGAAAAGAGGAGGTGGAGGAGGAGGAAGAAGAGAAGGTGGAGAAGGAGGAAGAGGTGAAGGACAGAAAAGTCTAGAGTGACTATCAGTTTTCAAGCTTGGATGACTGGGTGCACAGTGGTGGTACCCTTGTAGAAATAGAAAACACTAAAGGAGGGTCAGGTCAAATTATCCCCCCATGTTCCCATTTACTTTCAGGAGTTCCATGCACTTTTGAATCACAGAGTTGAAATCATAGACTCTCTGAGTTGAAGAGGCACCAAAGCCCAGCTTTCCTGCCTTTGGGCAATAAGGGTCATTTGTTCACATCAAAGAAGTGGGAGAAAGGTCCATTCTATCTTAACATTCCTCAATTCTAACATTTTGTAAAGTTATTTTCCATTTTTAAATCTCTTGATAGTGTAGGTCTTCTTCAATTATACATTCCAGAGCTTATCCATAACCCCAACTCTTTCAATTCAATGCATTTCCTCCTAAGTGAAACCTACATGCCTCTCAATGTAAAATGGAGGCCAACATATACCTGCCAAGTGCTGAAGAATGTAGGTCTTAAAATAGACTATAGCCTTGTTTCAGGGATCTCTCACTTGGTTTTATTGGTATGGGCTAAACAGGGCTTCCGTTTCATAAATGAAAGTCTCCAGTAACATGAATGAAAGGCTCCAGGGCAGAATCTCAGAGGGTTTCTATGAGTATCACTTGGAACCAAGCACAGGCAACTGCACATCCCTGTTTGGGTTTGGAATTGGAGATGGTGGGTTTGGGATGTGGTTACTCTTGTTTGGAATACATTCTCCTCCTCTTAACAGGTTGATTCTTCCTTTGGAGGTCTGCTTAACCTTCCCTGATTACCCTGTCAGTTCCATTGTACATACCCTTCCAGAGCATCACTTACCTATCCTTAGTGTGATTCTTTGAGTAACATGTGTCTCCCCCAGCAAACTCCACGGCAGGACTGGTCAGTTTTTGCTCACCACACCATCCCAGTGCCTAGCCCAGTGCCTGGAACTTAGTGTTCAATAGGTACTAGTAAAAATGAATGCGTGATAGCAGTCTATGAAGTGCTAGCTATAAAATGAACACGTGATAGGAGTCTATGAAGTGCTAGGTATAAAATAATGCGTGATAGGAGTCTATGAAGTGCTAGGTATAAAATAATATGTGATAGGAGTCTATGAAGTGCCAGGTATAAAATAATGCCTGACAGGAGTCTATGAAGTGCTAGGTATAAAATAATGTGTGATAGGAGTCTATGAAGTGCTAGGTATGCCCATGACATCCACATGACAATTCACCCAGAGGTATTTTTATATCCCTGTCGCTGATGAAAAAGCAGAGGTGTGGCTCCTCGGTGGAGGGCTCTGATTCCAAACTCTTGAGCCTCCCAACCACTGTCCTCCGGGTAAGAAACCGTATAATAGTATTCTGGGTACAAAATACGCACACAAATTGGCCAGAAAGCCATAATCCCCCACAGTCACATTCTCTTGAAGATCCCCTTGCCTTCCCCTTGCCCTGTGAACAAGGAGAGGCTCAGAATCCAGGGGGCGTCCGGCAGGGCTCCTCCCTCAGACCAGCGCAGCCCTCGGGGCGCTCAGAGCCCTGCCCTCCCTCCACTTCCCCTCGGGGTGGCTACCTCAGGCTCGCTCCCAAACCGGCTGTCTGGCTTCAGGCGACACCTGGCGCCTGGCCTCAGGCGAGAGGTGTGGGGAGAGACCGAGTGCCTCCCACCCTTCTTAAGAAGGAGAGCAGTAGAACCTCGGCGGGGAGGGCAGCAGCGGCCGGGGGTGACAGCAGCGGCGGGGCACGACCGCCGTTAGCGTTAGACGTTAGCGCTCCGCCTTCGCCTGGCAAACCCTGCGCGGGCTCCGCTGCCAGGTCACCAGGGGTAGCGCCGGGCGCGACGTCACAGAGCCGCCCCGCCTCTCCTGCAGCGGCGGGTTCCCAGGGTCCCGCTAGGGCGCTGCTAGGGGACGCTGAAAGCTGTTTTGGGCTTTGCTGGTGGTGGAAGGACCAGACGGCCTGGAGGGTTAAGGACTGGGCTGGGGACGTTAGGAAACCCGGGCTGGGGGCGTTGGGGGTGGGGCGGAATGTGTAGCCATTGACGGTGCGCTTTTGTAGGTGAGAGGGCAGAAGTGGAGCTTGATCTTTCGGCTTGTGGAAAGTGGACAGGTGAGAATTCCTCAGGAATCATAGTAACAACACTTCTTACAATGAGTTTTTGGTGCCAGGAATTGTTCTAAGTGCATTACACACATGAACTCATTTCATCCTTACTGTCACCCCATGAGGCAAGTACTATTGTTATCCCCATTTTTACAGATGAGGGAACTGAGCACAGAGAGGTTAAACTTGTCCAAGATGACAGTCAGCAAGTGACAGAGTCAGGATCTGAATCTGGGTTGCGTGGTCCCAGATTCCTCACTCTTGACCTTATAATGCTAAGAAAGGGGCATGGAGTGGATAGGAACAGAGCCTGAGATGCCTGGGGACAACAGGGAAAGATAGAAAATATTTATAGGGTAGAATGTGGTCACTGTGCCAGGGCACTTTTACAAACATGATGACATCAAAGTTTCACAGTAAACTCTGAAGGTAGGTATTACCTTCGCTTTGGAAATAAAAAACAGGCTCAAGGCTTCGAGTAATTTTGCCTGTGATCGAACAGCTGGCAGTAGGGCTCAGGGCCCAACTTTACTCCAGGTCTTCCGGTTTCAAGACTGTGTGTGTGTGTGTGTGTGTGTGTGTGTGTGTGTGTGTGTGTGTGTGTGTGTTTTGAGACAGGGTCTTGCTCTGTTGCCCAGGCTGGAGTGCAATGGGGTAATCATGACTCACTGCAGCCTCAATCTCCTAGGTCTAAGCAATCCTCCCACCTCAGCCTCCCAAGTAGCTGAGACTGCAGGTGCTTGCCACGATGACAGGCTAATTTTTATATTTTTATAAACGGGGTTTTGCCATGTTGCCCAGGCTGGTCTTGAATCCCTGGGCTCAAGTGATCCACCTGCCTTGGTCTCCCAAAGTATTGGGATTACAGGTTTGAGCTACCGCACCTGGTCTCAAGACTGTTCGTTTTAAGCACCCAAGGAGGCAAGAAAAGCCCCATCTTTCTCTGCTACATCCCGTGTCACTTCACACCTATTTTAAAGGGGCCCATTGCATCATCTAATCCTTCATTCCATTTATACAACAGTGTGTATTAGTCTAAATAGATTAGTTCACCCAGGCCCTTCAAAGCTTTCTCTGTTTGTGAGATGAAAGCCTTTGTCTCTCCCTAAAGCAATTTTAAGCATCAGTGAACAAGTGGGGGAACTAGATTTTTGGGTTACGCATGCAGAAAGCTTTTCACAGCCTGTTGTCATCCATTTGTAAAGAGGCCACTCTGCTGGCATTTGTCAAAATCCTGTAGGTCCTTGCACACCTGGAGAATCCTGGATGGTCTGGGGATGGCCACTGCCCACAGGGCAAGATCTGGGGATGAAAGAAACCTAGTCACTAGCTATCACCTGCCTTTCTGAGGCCTCTGTGGAGGGGCTGCCAGGTGTTGGTATAGGCACTTGACAAACAGGGTGTGCCTTAGGTTGGGAGGGGGAGGCTGGAGGCTTGAGGGCTGCAGGTGCATCTTCCAGGATAACAAGAATGCTCTGGCCACTGGGGTCTGTTCTGTTGTATGCACATGGGATAAAGGTGTGCCAATCTCTTCCTGCTTTCATGCAGAGTAAATAATGCTGACAGGAGTGAATAATAATGATCTTTGTGCAGAAGAAGGGGTTTTTCAGACAAAGCACTAGCAGCTAGAGATGGGAGATGAAACAGAATAGAATTTTAGTGTAGCAAGTTAAACACAAGGGAGGAATTTCATGGGACTGTCTGACTGAGGCGATTTGATGTCTGTCTGTAGGAGGCCAGGTTGAGAGGCCTAGGTTAGATTATCCTTGATCTGTTAGTCAATAAATATAACAGGATACAGTCAAGAGAATACAATTTTACAGGAAAATGATAATAACATAATTCAGGAAAGTTGCTTTCTTCTAAAACAGAGGTAAGAGTAGAGAGGGAGGAGCACATAGATGTTACTGGTAGTGGTCTAGTTTTGGGGTGGGTGATGGGTTCATGGGTGTTTATTATGTTTCAGTAAAAAATCTGTCTTAAATATTACAATAAAATCTTTTATTACATACAATCTTTTATCAAGTAGGTTACACTGTTTTCTGCTATTTTCTTGTACGAACGAATATTGACTATATCCTTTCTCATCATTTCCCTTTTTCTACTAGATAATTCCCATCAACATAAAAACATGCCTTCATCATTTTCCTCTTCAGCTTTGACCATTTTCTCTGCTTCCCTTTATTGCCAAGCTCTTTAAAAGAGTTGCCTATACCTGCCACCTCTAATTTCCCTCTTCCAAATCTCTTTTTAATATACTTGAACCAGGCTTTCATCCCCACCACTCTACTGAAATGACTTGTGTTAAAGTCCCCAATGACATGCTGTTAAATCCAAAATCATCTCTCAGCCTCGGCTCAACCTATCAGCAGCCTTTGACCCTGTTGATCACTTTCACATGCTTGAAACATTTTCTTTCCTTGGATTCCAGGACATTAGACTCTTGGTTTTTCTCCTTCCTCATTGGCTGTTCTTTCTCAGTCTCTTTTGCTTGTTCTTCCTCCTCTCCCTGGCACTTTAATCTTGGAGTGCCCTAGGATTTACACTTGGACTTCTCTATCTACATGCACTCTCTTTTTTATCTCATCCAGTTTCATGTTTTGGATACTACATTTATGTCTTCAGCCCTAATCCTTCCCTAAATACCACATTAGAACATCCAACTGTTTACTCTGCACCACTGGATGTCTATTAGGCTTCTCAGGCTTAATACACCCCAACTGCACTCTAAGATTCCTCTCCAAACCAGTTCCTCCAGGCTTCCTCATAGAGGCTAAAAACCTTGGCATTATCCTTGGCTGCTTTTTCTCTCACACCTTAAATCCAATCAGAGCAAATGCTATTGGCTGTATCTCCAAAAGTCATTCAGAATTGGAGCACTTCTCTCCACTTCCATCACCTTGGTCCAAGCAAACTTCATCTCTTACCCGGACCACTACAATGGCTTCCTAACCTGTCTCCCTGTTTCCGCCCTTCCCTTCCAGGGGTCTGTTCTCATCACAGCTGCAGGATCGAATTACTGAAAACCTAAGACTGATCATGTCATTCCTCTGTTTAGAACCCTCAGTGGCTCCCACCTTATGCAAGTAAAAGTCAAAATAACCCACAGGCCCTTAAACTCTCTGAACCCATCATTTTCTCTTTTCTCCTTCATCACTTCCCTCCAGCCATGCTGGCCATCTTATTATCCCTCAGAAAGGCCAGACCCTCTCCTGCCTCAAGACTTGTGCACTTGCATTTCATCTGCCTGGAACATGATTTCCTCAGGTATCCACAGGGTTCATTCCTTAGCACCTTCGGTTTTGTATCCAAATGTGACCTTCTAAGGGAGTCTTATCTGACTCTTTTAAGTTGAACACCAATATCCCTTCCAACTCCTCCCTTGCTTTATAATCATTACATACTATGTATTTTTAAATTTTTGTTTTATTGATTTCTCTATATTTTTTCACTGGAGTGCATGCGATTCTGTTTGTTTTAGTCACCGCTGTATTTCGAGAGCCTCGAACAGAACTGTGCACATAATGGGTACCATAAATATTTGTTTACTGAATTAAATTCTCCTTTTTTTTCTCTCCTTCCACCTTGTTTCCCCTTCCTTCCTTAAGAGGGCCTTCTGAAAAATGATACTTTAGTGTCCATTCAGCTTTGCATGTTCAGTATCTTAGGGACTAAAGTTCTATCTGGCCAAGTAACCATAGGTCTGGCACCAGAGAGTGGGAATCCTGACGGTCTTCTTACCATCTCAGCCTTATAATAAATATCAACTGTCTCATACTATCTCTGAGCTCAGAGAGTCAGTTCTCCCTATCCTATGTGGCTTATATTGTGGGTCACTTTCCCCAGATCTTAAATGTGCCATTTCATAGGAGGAAACGAGAGTGACCCTGTCCCACCTGCTGCTTGGATCATGGTGAGGCTGGGGCTGAGCAGTGATGATGGGTACACCATACTCAGGTTCAGCACAATTCTGTGATTTAGCTGTGGGGTGTGGTTGTTAGACTCCCCGTGGAGCCAGTCAACCCTGTGTACATAAACTCCTTTCACATATACATTTGTTTTCTTTTGCTGCATTGCAAATTACCACATACTTAGCAGCTTAAAACAACACAGATTTCTGATCTCAGTTTCCACAGGGCAGGAGTCTGAGTGGGTTAGCTGGGTCCTCCGCTAAGGGTCTTGCCCAGCTAAAATCCAAGTGTTGGCTAGGGCTGTGCTCTCATATGAGCCTTAGGGTCCTCTTCCATATTCATTGGTTGTTGACAAAATTCAGTTCCTTGGGGATGTAGGACTGAAGTCCCTATTTTCTTGCTGGATTTTGGTCAGGGATTGTTCTCAACTCATAGAAGCCACTTTCACGTCGTAGTTCCATGGCCCTGGAATGGCAGTTTACGACACTGATGTTTGCTTTCTTCCAGGCCAGCAGAGGCACCTGTTGTTGTTTCTTTTGTCTGTTTTTTAAGGCTTACTGGATTAGGTCAGATCCACCCAGGATAACCTCCCTTTTGACTAACTCAAAGTCAACTGATTAGGGACCTTAATTACATCTGAAAGTTCTCTTTTGCCACAGAATATTAATCACAGGAATGAAATCTCCTCATATTCATAGGTCTCACCCAGACTTACAGCGATGATGAGATTATACAGGGCATGTACACCAGGGGGTGGAAATGTTGGAGGCCATCTTAGAATCCTGCCTACCACAATATGCCTCTTTATGAAAGAAACTGATGGGAAGGTCCGTTACCTCTCTTCAGAGTTGAAACCATTGAGACGACAAGCACAGCTACTCATTGTGGTTCTGGATCCCCTCCTCTTCCTGCTACCTCTGTGTGTAGTCTTTTTCTAGAACCTAGGAGAGCAACACCTCCTATAACCACTCAATTATGAGAAACAAACCACAAAATTCCACATAAATGAAAATGTCTACCTAATCAAAGTCTACTTCTTTAAGGATTTGAGTGATTGGGGTGGGGGGAAAGGAGAATATTTGTCACTGGGAGGCAGGGTGAGTTGTGTGGACACGGTTCCTTCCTTCTTGACACCTGTGTCTTCTGTGGCTGCCCTGATTCTACTTAGGACTCCCCTAGGCTGTATGGCATCTTCACATACATTAGAAAAAGGTGGTCGCTCAGGGGCAGACATACCCCCTTGGGCATATGGCCTGACAAGTAGGGTAGGAGCTGAACTTCAGCCCACTCTCACCCCTCAGAAAACTGCCTGGTTTTCCTGCCTCCAGAGCCTTCTATTTCTGTTCCACATTATTCATCTTCTAAATATGCACAACACTCCCTTGCTCCCCACCATCACACACACACACACAAAAAAAAAAAAAAATAGAGAGAGAAAAGAAAAGAAAACCTCCTCAGTCCTTGGTTTTCTCTCTGTCTTCCCTTCATGAGAATTCCTATCCTCCTAAGGATAGAAGTTTTCCAGCTAGCTGTCTGCGTGGATGACTCAAATCTACACCTAAAGTCTCAACCTCCCTGCTCAACTCAGTCCCTTGTCCAAATGTCCTGGACCTCATTCAAACAAGTTCACAAAGGGCACATCATCTTCCCCAGGGCCAGCCTCAGACATTCATAGTGCTGTCAGTGGAGACATCCTCCTCCCTCTTACCCCACTACAAAGCTAAGAATCACCCTTAGCCACTCCCCTCTGCCTCTCCTCACACAGCCCATATGCTTCTCACCTACAGGTACCGTGCCTTTGTCCATTTCTTGCCAGTGTCACTGCTCCACACTGATCTAAGCCCTTAGCATCTTACATTCACCCTGTGTTTCAGTGGTTTTCTGATCACGGTCTCCTCCGTTTCCTCTCCCAGTGGTTCTCAACTTGGGGGTAGTTTTGCATTTCTAGGGTACATGTGGCAATGTGTGATGACATTTTTGGTTATCACAAGTGGGAGTGTGATAATAGCCTGCTGTTAGCATATGGAGGGTAGGGGCCAGGGCTGCTGCTAAACATCCTACAAAAGAGAGGACAGTCCCCCCAACAAATAATTATCCTACCCCAAATGTCAGTTGTGCTGGGATAAAGAAACTCTGACCTATGTCAATTCCTCCAAGCTTCCTGAATGATATACCCTTACTCTTCTTAAGAAAATGCACTGTGCGCATATTGCCTCCTCACTGGAAAAACATTATTTCCCATTTCCTATATGCACATGTCTACTTCTGCTTAAGATGATCTCCCCCTTCCTTTTCTATGCCAATGTATCTTCCGTTTCTCTTAAGGCCCATAGCAAGCTCTCCAGCCTGTGTGCTGGGCTAGTCTCCATTTGTCCCGCTAGGTCCACTCTGTAGTCTTCTCTAACCTGGTATCTGCACAAGAATTGTATCTCCTGGGCTTCCTTGCTCTCTAGTAACTGGTTGGATTTGGCCTATTGGAGGTATCAGCAGGTGATCAGACATTGGGTACTTATTTCCCAGCTCCCAAACTGAGCTTCTTGCCTTGCCTCCATAGCCTCAGCTACTGTCTAGCACCTCATCTTCCATGGAATCAGTTCTCATGTGGCTCCAATATCATCATTTCCTCCCTTGCCCTTTCAGGTCTAGGGGTGGTAATGGCTTCCCACAATTGCTAGTCCCTAAGTTCACCACTGTGATTGATTTGCTCAACTCTGCCCATTCTTCAGTAAATATTTCCTTAGTTAAACTCTCTCTAGTATGCCATCTGCTTCCTGCTGGATCCTCAATGATGCTCAGTCACTTGAGGAGTTTCTCTTCTCTTGGATCTCATACAAAACTTACAGTTGGGACCATTCCTCTGTCATTCAGCATGTACACCTTGATATTGCTCTGATCCACTTACATCCAGTATTTTCATGGTTTCTAACCATGTTGCGAACTCCTGTGGGTCAGGGCTATTTAATACAACATTTCCACTCTCTTCACATAGTGTTGTGCTCAATCAATGTTTACCAATGAAAATTATAATAATATGCTGCATGAGGGACTCTAAGTAAAACTGGGGATTTCTCTACTGGCTTCCTTCCTTGAAACCTGTATTCCCTCCCTCCAAAGCCCTTTGCTGCGTTATGCTATGCCTCGTCTGCAGGGAGCAAATATTCTATGTGCTCCCTACATCTAAAGCCCGCTGCTGCATCAAACATGTGCTTCATAAATGCCTTTCTGTCCCACGATTCACTTCAATTAGTTTTTATTTAAATATTTAATGACGTAAAAAGTGATGTGTCTTCTTAGGGAATCTTGGTAAAGTACAGGGATGTAATCAAATGGCTTGCAAATTATACTTATTTATTTATAACTCTAATTTTAAAAGGACCAGAGTTATGAAATTATGAAAGGGATGTTCACATTTCACAGAAATGTTATCCTAAGGAATGAGGGACAATTATTCCTAGGAAAAGGGGCCAATGCCAGATCATTTCCTAGAGTTATTGCGTCTTATCCGTCAGTGTTGTAATGGTTTTTGTGGGAGCAATTTAAAAAGGTTTTTCTTCTGCTCTCTGCCAAATATGTCTCCATCTGCCTAATTCTGCTGTGAGGGTCTCCGTTTAACCTCAGGACTCTGGTTATTTTCATGCCAAAAATCTACACCCAAAGTCTGTTTCCTCTTTACCAGAATGATGAACGAGATGATTAGAGAGGAATAGTAGACATTTTGGTTCATAGTCCACCTTGATAATTTCATGGAAAGGCTTGGCAAATATGAAGCTGAAATATAGGCTAAGTGACGAGGGCCATGTTGTGATTTTTGTGGGCAGAAGGCACTTTGCCTTCTTGGACCTTTTCCTCCATTAAGAAAATGAAAAATCATATTTTATGACTGTTTTGGAATAATGGCAAATACATGAATATAATATGTTAAAACATCTTGTGTACCCCTAAGAGTATTTTGGTCCCTAGCTACTGTGTCTCCTGTGCCTAATGAATGAGTTGGCCCTGTTTGCGAGCAGTGGGAAAAGAATGTATCTTAACTCCTTTTTCAGGGTCTAAAGATACCAAGGTGCCAATCTGTTCTGAATGATGGCTGAGTTGGGAGGTTATAATCATAAATAAGGCAAATTCCTGTTCTTCCTCTGAGAGGCTTTGGAGGGCTTTGGAGGGGTGGGCAGCTATGGACCACAAAGCTTGGGCACCTCCCAAACATGGGCTGCTCATCTCTTCACCTTGTCCTAGAGTTGACATCACCTTCTCCATATGTGACAGATAGTGTTACAGTCTCTACTCTGGGAGGGTCCAGGGTGACCACTGTCCCCATTCCATAGATGGGGAGCCTCAAGCATGGTGAGATGAGCCTGGGTAACTTGCTCTTCTGCCTTGATTCAGATTCTAATGCCTTGCTGCTTTCTTGGCAGCAGGAAGGAAACATCTTTAAAATATTTTTTCTGACTATAAAAGTGATACTGGTTTATTATGAAATTTTGAAAAATATAAGAATTTGAGAGATTTTTAAAAAACTACTCCCTTGATCATACCTCCAGGAGCCAACCACTGCCAACTGCTTCATGAGGTTGTATAAATGGGTGCACCATACCATGGGTGGGATAGGACTATTTGACCTCCTGGGAGCCAGCCCAGGAGTGCCTGTCATTGCTGCTATTTCTGCCTGATGTCTCCCTCAACTGTAAAATGGCTGGATTTTGTAATATCCTCCCCTCAAATGCTTACAAGCTACAATGTTAACTGGAAAGGCAGATTGCAGAATTTTTATACAGTATGATCTCAGGTATGAAGAAACATGCATAAAAAATTGAGGAAAGTAATAGATAATTATGTCAACAGTGGTATTAGCTGTCCCTCAGCCATGGGAGCTCCTGTATGGGTGAGGAACAGCTTTTTGGGGGGATGGTTGCTTTCCAGCACCACACAACATCCCCCAGAAGGCAATTTTCTCATTTTCCTTTGAATACAATTGCCCCTGTTTGCAATCCTTAGAAGGGGGCAAGAGGAACCGTGATGCCTCCATGCCTGAACCTCAGACCTTTGGAGGTTGTTGTCCTCTTTCATCTCCTCTTCCCTGTGCCCACTCATGAAGCAGCAGTTTCTGCAGGTTCCTATTTGTATTCGAGGCTGGCAGTGGGTTTTCCTAGCTATCCTCTTGGGAACATGAATCTATTCTCTACATAAAAGCAAAGATACGATTAAAGCTACGCATCAGAGAGCAATGAAGGGAACTAACGACTCCACATTACCATGGAGAGGATGCTATAGAACAAGGTCAGTTTCTGCTAGGAGACTCTTCTTACTGTTGCCACAAATGCAGAAGAACAGCTCCTGGTGCCTCTGCAGCCACTCAAGCCTGGCTTATCCGAGAGTGACAGGCATCTGCAGACAAAATATTTTGTCTTCCTCAGCAGCTTGATCCAGTGTTTTACCATGTTTCCCTTAGCTCATACCTACATATTGCCTAGTAAAGTCATCATCCCATGTCTGTTTTCCCTGATGAAGACAAGACAGAGAACATTGGCCTGTGCATCTCCACAGGATAACCTTCCAAAACTTGATGCTGGGTTGCTTCTAAAGTGTCTATATCAAGCCCTGAATATTAGCATACTACCAGATTAAGGAACTTTGAGTCTAAGTGGTACATTCAATAATTTAATTCAACAACTATTTGTTTGAGCATCTGCTATGTGCTAAGCAGGAAAGAAATAGTCAAGGGGAACACAGTCTGCACCAGAAGTCATCAGCATGTGCTACATCAGATGCTGTGTTCAAAGATCCCACGTCCTCTTTTGGTTTTTAAAGTGAGCTTTGAAGTCAGATAAACTTGGGTCTAATTCATTTTTTGCCACTTACTTCTTCTGTTACCTAGGCTAAGCTACTCAACTTGCATGGGTCTCAGTTTTGTTGCCTACAAAGTAGGGATAATAATACGTATTTCACAAGTTGTAGAATAAATAAAATTATTTAAGGAAAAAACAATTCCTAAGGTGGAAGTTACTCTGTAAATGTTGCTCCTTCCTTCAGGTTTTATAATGATTTGCTTATGGGGACATCAGAGATATTGAGTATCATATAAAATTGGTTTTTAATTTGAAAATGTAAATTTTTACATGTATTGTTTACTTTGTGGATTAACTATAATTCCAGATTGGCTTCCACAAACTCAGGTTATGACTTATCATTTAATATGCCAGTAGTCATTTGTTTATCCAACAAATATTTAAATATCTTTTATGGCATAGTCAATGTATGTGTGGGGAATAAAAGCTGCCTTTGATATAAGCTTAGTCCAGACATGTTCAGGAAAGAAAATCTGCCATGAAGAAAATCCTGTATGGAAGGCATTTTCAGGACAGTAGAAGATGGGTTCAGAGAAGCAGGGCTACCAGCAGAGACACTCCTCAAATGCTAGCAGAAAAAAACCCTAACAAATGCCTGACTGCAGAAGAATCCTGGGAGCCTGGACTTGCCTCTCATTCTTGAATTGCATTTATTCTGGGAACTAAGCAGAGTGCTGTGTCAATCTGCTATGAGGGAGGCAGAATTATAAATAGAATATGTGCTACAAATAGAAAGTGAGATGAAAGATGGCATTTTTGGGCTTTCACGGCTTCCCCCCACCCCCCGCCCCCACCTCCTTCAGCAGAGGGAGAAGTCATCCAGTTTTGGTGAAGGCAAAAAATTCAGAAGCCATCATTCCAAGAGCAGTGGAAGGAAGGGAGGAAGGAGAAAGTATGAAAGTGGTGAAAAGTATAGAAGTGGGAAGAGTTGAGTGAGATGTGAATAGAGGGGTGGGAGGGTAAGCTGGCCTCCCGGGCAGATGAGAGGAAACCAAAGAGAAAAGCCCAGGGCTAGGACACAGAATGAAGATTTACCCAGCTGGAGAGAAACTTGAAATAACAAGATAGTAACAACACATGGCCAGACAGGGATTGGGTTGGAAAAGAATTAAAAAGCTTAAACCCTAAAAATGGAATTAGGTGGGAAGGCTAATGTGACTGTGAGATAAAAGACCCAGGCCTGATCAGTAACATTCCCAGGTAGCTCCATTTACCCTTTTCCCCAAAGCAGACCTTGACCTTCAGCTTTCAAGGTGAAACTTGGCCTTCACCTTTCAAGGCGAATATCTTCAAAGGTATTTTTGAATCTGTAATGAGGTGTCATTTCATCACGTATGGGGAAGGGTGTTCTACCTGTGGTTGAGGAAGCCTTAGTGGGAAAAAGTCTTGAAGTTGGAGGTGGGTTCTGGTCCCAGCATTGCCATCAACTAGATATGTGACCTCAAACAAGTCACCTGACTAGCCTCTGTGAGCTGGGTTTGGATATCATCTCTTCCATGAACTGCCTGTTTAATCTTGGTCTATTTACTTCCTTTATCTGTAGACTTTCACAGCTTTCTTCCCTTCAGCAGAGGGAGAAAAGCCATCCATCCAGTTTTGGTGGAGGCAAGAAATTCAGGAGCCATCATTCCAAGTTAAGTGAAAGGGAAGGAGGAAATAAAAAGTATGAAAGTGGTAAAAAGCATAGAGGTGGGAGTGCGATGTAAACAGAAGGGTGGGAGGGTAAGCTGGTTTCCTGGGGCTTCATAGCTAGTCTTCATTTTTTTTCAGATCTGCAAAATGATGGGTATTAGACTCTATGTTTTAAAAGCTGCTGCCTGATGTAAAGTTCTACACTTTAATACTTGAATGAATACTTAGGGTGAGAAAGAATAGTGACCCCCTAACTTAATTTGTTCTACAATAGGAAACAGCTGTCATGGAGGTCATTCAGCTGAGATGCTGGATGAATTGACAGCTTTAAGTCCTGCTATAGTCAGAATATGTCTCCTCTCCACCTGGCAGCGATCCATGCCTCCCACCATTGCTCTATTGCAGGGGTACCAACTTTGGATCTGTGCTGCTTGAGTGGGGGAGCTCCCACAGTGTTTGTTCATACAAGAGGGTTTTTAGCAGCTACCTACCCAGAATAATTTGGGAAGAAGGCCTATAGATGCCATAAAATGGAGGTTCCTCAAGGAATTCTCAGGGGAAATGTTACAATAGCACTCTGCCGAGGAGATGAGATGCACCTAGTTATTTTGTAAGTAGAAGGTGTGGAACTGCAGGTATGGTTCTGCTTTGTTGCCCCAAAGTGATCAAAGTTTTGCAGCCCAAACAAGGATTTGGGGAAGTCACAGCTCAGAGAACACCCAAGCACATCAACGTTCAAAAGTGTAGTATGAAGTGGTACTGTCCAAACTCATTAATCAGGAACAGCCACATGGTATATATAGGAACTTACATTCTTTTACCTTACAAATTACATTATCAATTCACCTTGATGCAATAATGTGTCCTCCCATTGGTCCTTGAGCTTTATTAAGATGGTTTCTTTGGCCAGAGTCCCTTTGAGGTCACCATAAAGAGAACCCAACTTACCTATGGAGATTCTATTGCTTCTGCTCTGTCTTCTACTCATCTATTTCTCAGCCCTAATGGAACTAGTATGCAAAACACTAGTAGGGAGATAATGTTGAATCTTGTCAGCCTTTATAACTTGATCTAGTAAGGTACTCCTCAAATAGCTCGGGTAATCTGTCCCAATGTAGTCCTGATTTTGCCCAATCAAATACACTTCTGAGAATAGATATGAATTCAGACACGGCCACTGGGTCACACTGTCTGGGGGGCATCAGTCTTGGAGGTTAGGAGTCCTGGCCAGGGAAACAGGAGACTCACTATCCTATCAAGGATTGTATACAGCACACCCATATCTGGGGATGAATGTGGGTCTTGGTCAGAAACCATCCTTGTGGGAAACCGAGGGCATTCCTAGTAGACAAAGTATCCTCTCTGCTGGGGGTATTTTGTCACAGTGACAAAGTGTGGTGTTTTGCAAAGCTGGTTGACTACCGTCACCTCTTAGAAGGGGTAAACCCATCATAAAGATTGATTGATGGCAGCGTCAGACTGACTATGGCTTATAATTGGAGCTCTGTTTGAGTTAGGGTCTTGTTCTCTAACTCAAACAGAAGTACAGCCCTGGACAGGTAGCATTAGCATCATCTGGAAGTTTGTGAAAAAGCAGGCTCAGGCCTCATGCCAATCCTACTGGATCAAAACTCCATTTGACAAGATTCCCAGGCAATTTGTATGTCCATTAAAGTTTAAAAGGCCCTGGGTTAGGGTGCTTCTTTTGAAAAGAACGTAAGTATCTCTTCTATAGGCCAGTCATTTACATTGTAATGAGATAGCTTAATCAGAATACTTCTCATTTATCCTTTAGCTAAAATATACCAGAATGGGAATCTTTTTTGCAAGGGAGGGATCACCAAACCCCCAACTCCTGACCGCTACTGTAACTTCAGCTTTTACCATGGGGATCTAGCACACAGTAGCATCAACATATCTTTTGTCATTTGGCTGAATAACTTCTTCACAATGAGAAAGAATACGTGGTTTTGTATTTTTCAGTATTTGACATATGCTCAGGTGTGGTGGGCAGAATAACAGACTACAAATGTCCATGTCCTAATCCCTAGAACCTGTGAATATGTTACCTTACAGGGCAAAGGGGAGTGGAGGTTGCAGATAAAATTAAGGTGGCTAAGCAGCTGATTTTAAGATAGAGAGAGTGTCCTGGGTGATCCAGGTGGGCCCCATATAATCACAAGTGTCCTGAAAAGTGAAAGAGGGAGGCAGAAGAGAAGGTCAGAGTCAGAGAAGGAGATGTGAGAAGGACTAGCACTGCCCCTGCTGGCTTTGAAGACAGAGGAGGAGGGCCATGAGTTGAGAAATGTGGGTGATTTCTAGAAGCTGGAACAGCCAAGGAAACTCTCCTAGAGCCCTCAGAAAAGAACGCAGTGCTACCAACACTTTGATTTTTGCCCAATAAGACATGTGGTAGACTTCTTACCTACAGAACTGTAGGACAATAAATTTATGTTGTTTTAAGCTATTAAGTGTGTAGTAATTTGTATGGCAACAATAGAAAACCCACAAAGCAAGAAACAGCTCATTTGTTTTGAATATGAAAAACAGACAAAAAGCTAGAATTACATCTAATTTTTTTCTTTTGTATATCTTTTGGAATTCAGGTGTACATGTTTGAGGTAATCCTGCTTCTCAGTTTGTGGAATATTATCATACTATCATCATAGAAGAACCAACCTTTTTATGAAAACATTTTTAAAGGTTTATTGTTTTTTCCACTTCATCTATCATTCCTAATTCCACTGCCCTCCTCCCATAGGCATCCACTCTAATACATTTAATATAGTTCTTCCAATCCATCCAACAGATGTTTATTTAGATATATAAGCGTCCCTACAAAAATATACAAGGCTGCCTTATGTGTGTGTTTGATACATAAATGGAATTGTGCTATAAATCCCATTCTGTTTTTGCTTTTTTTTTCTTAACTCCATTTTTGAGATCAATCCAGGTTTCTAAATGAAAATACAGTTCATTTTCCTATTGTGTACACATATTACATTTTGCCTGTACATTCCTTAGAGATGGACACCTAGGTTGTCTCCAGCAGGGTGGTGGTGAAGCTTGTTAGGAACATCTTGTGTTCCCTGGGAAGAATTTCCCCAGGTGTATACCCAGGAGTGGGCTTGGTGGATTTAAGGTGCACAATTGTCCCTCAGAATGGTGCACCTGCAGTGGGTGAGGGCTCTCTTTCCCCACCTCTTTGCCAATGCTTGGTAATATCTGACTTAAAAAGTGATATGCAATGGGCAACAACTAGCTGTGAAAGGAAATGCTACATAGATGACTTAGTGGAAACCATGCTGTAAATGCAGAATGAGCAGGGAAAAGTTAAAAAAATAATTATTGAAGGAAGAGCGTCTTACCAGCAGGACAGATACGGCTGGGAAGAGGAAAGCCCTCCAGGCAAGAAGGTTGTGTGTGTGGCTCACCATTGAGTGGTCTTTATCACCAGTGAGATCACCCTTCTTCTGACTACAGCTATCTGGAACTCAGTCTAGTCTATTTCCAGCCTGAGGTTTTTGCTAAACCTCCCTGGACACGTGAGGGGCTCTCTCGGCTCAGCTTCCAACTCCTTCTCTGCTTTAACTTCCTCTTTGCCACTTTACAAATTTGTGTGATATAATGACTTTTGACAGATGCATACCTCTGGGAAAGCACCATTATTACCACATGAAACATTTTCATCATTCCAAAAAGTTCCCTTGTATATGTTTGCAGTCCATCCTGCCTCCTGCTCTTAGCATCATAGAACTACTGATTTTCTTTGTGTCACTTCAGGCAAGCCACATTTTCCAGAATTTTATATAAATAGAATTGTTTAGTATGTACTCTTTTGTGTCTGGCTTTTTTCCACTCAGCATAATTATTTTGAGATTCATTCATGTTATTGACATATCAATAATTTATTTGTTTTTACTGCTGAATAGTATTCCATTGTATGAATATAAGGCATTTTGTTTCTCTTGCTGAGGGACATTTGTTTTGGGCTATTATTATTAAAGCTTCTATAGACATTCATATATAAGCTTTTGTGTGGACATACGTTTTAATTTCCTTGAATACTTAGGAGTCCAATGGCTGGGTCATATGACAGGTGTATGTTTAACATTTTAAGAAACTGCTGGCTGGGTGCTGTGGCTCATGCCTGTAATCCCAGCACTTTGGGAGGCTGAGACAGGTGGATCACCTGAGGTCAGGAGTTCAAGACCACACTGGCCAACATGGTGAAACCCCATTTCTACTAAAAATATAAAAATTAGCTCAGTGTGGTGGCATGCGCCTGTAATCCCAGCTACTTGGGGGGTTGAGGCAGGAGAATTGCTTGAACCCAGGAGGTGGAGGTTGCAGTGAGCTGAGATCGCATCACTGCACTCCTGCCTGGGTGACAAGAGCAAAAGTCTGTTAAAAAGAAAGAAAGAAAGAAAAGAAAGAAAGAAAGAAAGAAAGAAAGAAAGAAAGAAAGAAAGAAAGAAAGACTGCCATACTCTTTTTCAAAGTGGTTGTACCATTTTACATTCTGAAGAGCATTATAGGAGAATTCCAGTTGTTTCCACATTCTTGTCAAGGGTTGGTAGGGTCAGTCTTTTAAATTTCTTGCCATTTTAGTGACTGTGCATTGGTATTTCATTGTGGTTTATTTGCATGATGACTAATGCTCAACACCAACTAATCATGTTGAGTATTTTTAATGTGCTTATTTGCCACTCATATATCTTCTTTGATGAAGTGTCTCTTCAAATATTTTGCCCATTTAAAAACTGT